>NC_000010.11:78779458-78930974 GCF_000001405.40 Homo sapiens | reverse complement strand
GGCAGGGTCAAAGTAGAAAAGAAATTGGAGCTAAGTACTGAAGGAAGAGGTGAATTTTAATGAACAGAGGTGGTTAGGGAAGGGTCTACCAGATGGATGGAACAGCTTGAGCGGAGGAGGAGAGGCTGGACAAGTGGGTAGCATTTTTGAGGACCGTCTGGTGGTCTATTGGGGCTGGTACCTAAGTCTGTGGTTCCATCGAGGTGGGGCTCGTGTGATGAGATGAAACTGGACAGATGTGTGGATTGAGGTCACATTGGGGTGGACTTTGAAGAGCTTGCTGAGGAGCTGAATTTTATCCCAAAAGGAATGGGGCCCTCTGGAGGGTTTGAAGCAGAGCTGAGGTTGAGATGCCTTCCACTGGTGACATAGGGTGTGGACTGTAGAGGGAGACAGTGGAGGTCAGAGGCTAACTAGGAAGGGGTCAACTGTGAGGTGAGAGGCAATGCAAATCTGACTCAGAGCAGAGGCGGTGGAAAGAGGGAGAGGAGCAAAGTCTGGGGGCAGTTTCTTTTCAAAAGGTCCTCACTGGATCAGGGGCTTTGCTTGGGTGCTGGGCGGGGTTGCTGAAGGATTGCCAGGTTGGCGGCATCAGGAGCTGAGGAGGTCAGTTTTGAAACCAATGTCATGTTTTTGTATTTTTTCATTTTGAAATAATTTTAGATGCACAGGAATTTGCAAAGAGAGCGCAGAGTGGTCCCTTTACCCACTTTCCCCCAATGGTTACAGTTTGCTAATTTAAGGATGATATCAAAAGAGACCGATGGCATTTGACTTCAAGCCCTCCCAGCCCCTGCCTGGTGAGCTCATGGGTCTTCGTGAGGCCTGTGAGGCATGAGCTGTGGCTCCTTTGGCAGGCAAGCTTTCTGAAGTGCTGGCCTGTCCCAGCCACTGCCATCCTTTCCTGGAGATGTAGGGTCTGGGCAGGCCCAGCTGGGCAGGGAGGCCTCAGGAGCTTCTGCCCACAAGCAGGCAGGTTTGGAACTTGTTGGGCAGTTTGGGCTCAGAATCTGCAGGGCAGGGGTCAGCTATATTGACTCAAGCTGTGTGACAGGTTTCCTGCCTCAGTTTCCCTTCTTATCACTCCAGGTGCTGGCTGAATCTGGAAACTGCCTCTCAACCCCAAAGTGTCTGGCTGAGCTGTGCCACCCCGACCTGCCCCCCAACTCCCACTCCAGATTTCAGACTGGCTCCAGAGGCTACTCAGAGTGCAGCATCACTGCCCACAGGATCCTTACAACACCAAGGGCCACTGTACTGTCTTAGAAACAGGAAGCAACCTCAACCAAGGCCAAACTTGTCCATCCTTTTGAGCTCTGCACAAAGTCCTCCTGGGACACACCTTCTTGTCAGGCCTCCAGTCTTGCCTGCCCAGATCCCTTACTCCCTGGAGGACTGGCCTGAGAGAAGACAGCCCCCCAGCACTGGGTCCCTGTGCTCTTTAGCAGGGACAACATGGTCAAGTTTTGGGCAGGTCTTGGGCTGGGAGGCAGGGCATCTGTTGTTTGGTCCACCTCTGACCTGCCATGTGACTCCAGGAATGCCACTAAACCCTCTATTGAGGACAATTTCAATACTGACCATAGGTGGTCCGGATGCACCAGAAGAAATTACTGACATGGGCAAGTTTTGGAAAGTAATGTTATGCAAAAATTTAAAAACTGCTCTAGACATTTGATCAGTTGCTAATTCCCTCTCACAGTTTTTCTACTGATCACTTTCCTTATCCGTGAAAGATAAGTAGTCACAAAACCACTTGTGGAGCTCCTACCATGTTCTAAGTGCAGTGCAAATATCATCCTAACATGGGTGGTTTTTACAAGAGAAGGGACCAAGGCTCAGGGAGGTCGAGGAGGCTCTCCGTTTCATGAACATTGATAAAGGCCCTGCCATGGCATTTTGTTAGACTCAATGCTGGGATTTTGGCCCAAGCCTGCCCTTACCTCCACACAGTTGGGAGCCTGGTGTGACACAAGGGATCCAGCCTGGACTGTGTGCATCCTAAGCAAATGTTTTCCCCGCCGCATTGCTTGCTTGCTTATTGCAGACGAGATTTTTTCTGTGACCAGGCAGGGGCTTACAAGGGCTCTTCCTGATCTCTCCCCAAAGATGCAATGGAGTCCCACATCTGTAGCATGCCTCCCTGCAGCACTCAGCACTTACCCAGGCAGGCCGGAGTTGACCAGCCTTGGGTGCAGGCTCAACTCTGTGTTGCTTTTCTGCTCCGGGCTCTGCCCTGCAGTCCACCCAATGCTCATGCCATGCACTTCTTCAGCTCCAGCAGCTTCCATGGCTCCCAGGGGCTGTTGAATTCAGTCGGCCTCCTCAGCCCGGGGTCCCAGTCATCCTCAGTCTACCCCCACTGCCTTCTCTATTCTTTCCCAACTCTTCTCCTTGTGCCATGGACTCCCTGCAGATCCTGTGGCCACTGTGGGGCTCTCTTTGCCCATCAGGAGGGAAGGGCCAGATTTTCTCTCTTTCAGGTGTCTGGGCTGGTCCTAATCCCTCACCTCTTCTCTTCCTGAACTCTCTTCTCTGCCTCACCTCTTCTCTGCCTGAATCCATCCTTTGCCTGGCTGGTGTGCACACTCCCCTGCAGAGCTTTCCCCAACTGCTTGGATAGGAAAGGGGAATGAGACGCCCCAGTGCTAGGAAATGGAGCTTGTGGGGCTTCCTTAGTCTGAGCTGGAGCTTAGGTCATGGCTATATTTTACTGATGTCTGTCTATCTAAAAATGGCATTTTCCCACCAGAAGAAGCATTTCATGAACCAAAGCACACACCAGAGGCTTGCTATTGGGGTCACGGTGAGACAGACAGTGTGACCTTGGAGGGGGATGTGGGAGAGGTCATGTTCTTAATCACAGAAACATAGGCCCCCTGCAAGCATGCAACACTCCTTTATGGAATACCTTTGGGGTTCTAGGCTGGGACTCCACTCCTGAGGGTCAGAAAGGACCCTGAGAGGGTCTTTTTCCTTAATGGACCTAAGGGGAGAAAAACTAAGATGACCTCTGGTGTGCCCCCATCTCACCTGTCCCTCATCTTACTGTCCTTGGAGACTTTTCTTTTAAAGGGAAACTGAGAGATGCACCAAAAGCCAAGTGCTGCAATCCTGACAACCTGGTTCATTTGTGCATTTGTTCATTTACTTACTAACCCATGTGACCGTGCACCTGGTGCTGTCTGCGTGCAAGCAGCACCCAGAGCTGCCGCGGGGGAACCAGGCCAAAGAGCCACTGCTCACTGGGTGTTTCAAGCCACCCATCTTTTGCTGGTCATTTAGGAGATGTGGACTGGCCTCCTGGTCTCCCTTCCTGGGGCTGTGTGGGAGCCCCCTCTTGTCTCCCAAAGGTGAGGCTCAGCATGCCTCCTTCAGGCTCTTTCTGCCTCCACCCACTTGGCCAGCCCCTGACCCGCTCAGCTTCAGTTCAGGGCCCATCCTCCCCTGGGCCTTGGCAGTGTCAGCAGCCAGACCAGTTGCCCGGGTTGGGGTGGCATTCCTTGTGGCATCCCAGAGGACTCCACCTGCGGCTGCTTCTGATGGCTCCTGGGAGGGCCCCATGGCTTCCCAGTGTCCCAGGCGGATTACTCATCCATCCCTGGAGCGTTTATTCCACCGATGCTTAAGAACGCCCTCTGTGTGCCATGCACTGCACTCAGGGTCTGCTCCCCAGGGAACTTGTGCCTCTTTGGTAACATCTTCTGGTTCCCAGTCTCTCAGTGTGTCTCCCTCACCACTGATTTCTATGCCATTAATACCTGGGGCTGGGGACCCACAACAAATACTTGCTGATGAAGAGAAGGAGGACATTTGGGACAATTCTCCCAAGGAATCAACATTTCAGCAAGGTCTTAAAGAGGAGTAGGAGTTTCTTAGGCAAATAAAGGACTGGGAAAGGCCAATCTGGTAAAGGAACCAGCATGAACAAAGGCTTGGGGTGGGGGAGTGGCTGAGATTTTCCGTGTGCCTTCAGGTGAGATGACAGCATCCTGGGAGAAAAGGTGCAAGGGAGATTGACAGCAAAGGGGGGGCCAGTTGGGGACCCTGCAGAGCCTTGAAGGCCCCACTCGGGGATTTGGACTTCAATCTGCTAAGGGTCACTGGGGGTTTTTCAGAAAGGGAATGACAGCATTTTATTTATTTATTTCTTAGGTGGGTTACTGTGGGAATGGGTGGAACAGAGACACAACTCAAGAATGACAGAGATAGGAGAATATTTATATATAAGTCTTGTAGAGCCTCTTTTAAGATTTACATTTAATAAATCCCTCAGTAGTGATAAGGCAGCAGCAAACCTAAAAACAGTAGGATGGGGAGAACAATGGGTTTTTAGATTTTCCTGTTATTTACCTACCATCAAAGAGGCCACCATCCCAGAAGGACTTCCCTGTAATTCTAGTGGCCATACTTGTGTGTATTTAGCTTTACTTTCCTTTTTGCTGTCTCAGACTAATTTGATTTTCTCATCTTCTGTCCATGCAGCCTTCAGAAGATAATTATTCGGAAAAGAAGTGTTGGTCTTGTGGCTTCGTTTATTAGAGACACAGCAGCTTTCCTGGGTAAATGAGACACCTGACTTTTGTAAAGCAAAGCTGTATGCAATATTTGTCACACAATTATGTGCACACGTTTAGCATACCTGCCAGGAAAAAAAAAGACTTTGGGGGCTCTAAAGCTTGCCAGGCGTATTTATGCATGTTACAGGTGTCATGCTTTTCCCAGAGTCCTTATCTGTTTTGAAGTCAGTGGATGCTAGAAGTGAAGTCTCTACCATCGGCATTTATTGGTTGGCATCTGATATGAGACATTATCAATCAACTTAAAGGACACTGCAAATACACACACACACATACACACGAGCATGCTCTCTCCCACACACCACTGCCTGGGACTAAACCTCAGGCTGATGATTCAACCTATGGGATGTTATTGCTGGGAAGGATTTTGAAATCATCTAGGCCAACCACTCATGTTAAAGATAAGGTAACTCGCTGTAGCCTAGAGAGGAGAAGGGACTCGCCTACAATTACTCAGCAAAGGGAAGGCTATCGGGAGAGACTTGAAACCACAGTGGCTAAACCCCATTCCAGCAAGTACACAGCCAGGAAAATTACATGATAGTAAATGTTCTTACTGGGCTGTGCCCTCAAGGAGGGCTGTGTTGTTTTTTGCAGGGTTCCAATCTAAGCTATGGATTTCTACTTTGGACAATGTTGGTTATACCACAATTCTTGTTTCATAAAAGGAGCTGAACACATCTCAGAACTGGTTTTTATATAGGTTGGTTTCTATTCCACCCATCTCGTTCCTTGGCAGTGGGAAAACATGGAGATCCAACTGTCCCTGGAGAGCAGTGTTGCTGTGCCTGGAAGCTCTGGTGACTCCAATGCCCCTGTCAGGCAGATGGATAGGATTTCCTGGAGTCTGGTCCTTTTGAAGTCTGTTCTCACTTAACTCCTACATACATTCCCTCCTTTTTCTCCTTCTCCCTTGATAGATGTGAGAAAAATTAGCATTCTCTGTTGGTGTTTATCCAATAAGGCCTCACTGAGCACCTGCCATGCACAAGCTCACCTGTGGTGGATGGCGGACAAATGCCAAGGAGGGCCATGTGGGCTCGGCACATGAAAGGCACTCGCTGGCAAATGTCGCCACTTCCTGGGTATCAGGGACCGCTTCTGATTACCCACTCATCCATTCATTGATTCTTTTACTGAATTATCTATATGTCAGCAAGTGACTGTGACGTCTCTCGTACTGAAACGCAGTATTTCATTTGCTTATGTCTCAAGGCCATGCTTTAACCTTTTTATGTGGATTACTTAATTATTTTAAGATTTTTATATAAGCATCTATTAAACTCTCATCATATGGCAGACAAATGATCTCAGAGATGCCTTTTTCTATATAATATGATTTTGTTCCTGCTGTAGCCTTAGGAGGTGATTATTACTGCTATTGTTATTTTTCAGATGAGATACCTGCATATATTTTGTTTTGGGTTGCCCAGGCAAGAAGTGGCAGAGATAGAATCCATTGCCAAAGACGAGTTTCGTGGTCAGAGAAGGTGCCCTGGAGGGGTTGTGTTGGGGGGACCATGGATGGGGCTTACTGCATTTGAGGTGCCATCCAGGGGGCAGTATCTGGCAGGCGTATGGCTCTGTGGGATGAGTAGGAGCTTAGCAGAGAGGCCTGGGGTTGCAGAGAGAGGGGCCACCCTCAGATGTTTGAGCCCCTGGCAGAGGTGGTTCTCAGTGGGGGTAGTTTTGTTCCTCAGAGGACATTTGGCAATGTCTCATGACATTTTTCATTGTCACAACTGGTGGGTGCTGCCAGCATTTAGTGGATAGAGGCCAGGGACACTGCTAAACATCCTACCCTACACAGGACAGCTCCCCACAGCAAAGAATTATCTAGCCCCAAATGCCATTAGTGCCTGGGTTGAGAAGCCTTGTGACTGAGTGAACAGAGAAGCGCTGGAAAGGTGGAGCCTAGAGAAACGGCAACCTTTGTGGGAGGAGTTTAAAAGGCTCTTCATCTCAGGCACTCTCCTGACACCCTGGAGGGTTTAAACGTGCCCCAGGCTGTGATCATCACAAACAGCCACCATAAGTGCGAGGGCTCTCATTGTTTACATATAACAAGGCAGCAAGAGTGTCTTCTCTTTAACTAGAATGAAAGATTCATGAAGTCAGGAATTGGTTTGGTTTGCTCGTGGGTTTATGTGTCCACTCAGTACTGACTCAGGGCTGCGCTTGTCATCCTAGAGAGAGCCAGGCC
Organism: Homo sapiens; assembly: GCF_000001405.40. Classification (NCBI taxonomy): domain Eukaryota; kingdom Metazoa; phylum Chordata; class Mammalia; order Primates; family Hominidae; genus Homo; species Homo sapiens. The sequence continues at coordinate 78,924,191 of NC_000010.11, read as the reverse complement.
CTCCTGATGCTTCTGTCACCACCAGCCCTGTTCCTACCCAGGAGCTCTTCTCACCTCTCATTGCCTTTGCCTTCCTGTGCCCTCAGGGCTGCACAGGCATGTCCAGATTCCAGTGACCTTTGGTGCCTTTTCTCTGTCCACACCCCAATTTATTGCCAATCTCATAAAAAGCAAAACTTGGGAGAGAGAAGATTGAGTTTGCTTCTCGCAGCAGAATTTGATTTAGGGCCAAGAAGGTGGCAATTGCTGCAAAGCGGAGATCGGCTATTTCGGGAGTGCTGTGAATGATTTTTTTCCATCTCCAAATGACCTTACATATATTCTGTCTCTCGCCCGCCCTGTGTTGGGATTGATGGGAGTGGGGGGGTGCTGTGACTGGGCTCTGATGGGCTCCTGCTGCTGCTCCTAATAAATCTGTCTGATGGGCAGAAGGAGCACGATTACCTTGACGAATGGACAGCTGGATGGGCCGGTTGTTTAACACGCGGTTGGGGTAGATTTCTGGTTCCGCAGCTGCCTTTATGGTCAGCAGTGCACGCTCCCCTGGCCAGATGCAGGTTGTCCACCATCACCAATGGCTCTGCCTGCTGGAGGAGGTGATCTGGGCACATTTGCCTCTGAGTAGATCAAGGGGCTGCCTCCTTCACTCTCTCTGGCTCTCTGCATTCTTTGTCTCCACTGATGCCAGCTCCCCAGCTCTCCCCACGTGCCACTGCTGTCCCTGCCCTGGGACACCAGAAGGTGCCCCTGCTAGCAGTGCCCTGGGCCAGGAATCCAAAAACTTGGGTTTGGATCTCCTCCACCTCCAGCACAGTGGGCCATCCTGAGCAGGTTCCTGCTACTCTCTGAGCCTCAAATTTCTATCTGTAAAATGGGAGTGATACTAGTATAGCCACCTCCTAGGATTAGTAAGAAGCCTCTCTTCTTTCTGCCTGAGTTACTAGTCGACAGCCTTGCCTGCAATCTGGAGGGTGAGTCTCCTGGAAGGCACAGAGGTGGGTGTTTTGATGGGGGAATATTTTGATTTGGCTGCATTCATGTACCCAACTCAAAATGAAAATTGTTGATCTTTACGTCCAGGTAATGTGTCTGACAGATGTCCCTGCCCCCTCCTTGACTCTCCGCCATCCCTGCCCCCTCCCTCCTTTTAAAAAATATTTCATTCCCCATTTAATTCTCACACCATTGCCACTCCCACCCTAAGAGTGGGACCTGGTGATTGCTGCTGTACAGGTGACGGATAGAGGAAGTTGATGGTGGTCGTTTCAACACCTTCCTTGGTAACTATAAAAAAAGAGCTGAAAATAGAATGTTTGGTTTTTAGCCTGAGTCAAAGTCTCTCCACATCCACATGGCTATGTCAAAACATGGGATCAAAACCAGTCACAATATCAGGGACCTACAGGGCACACAAGGGTGGAGGTGCCACTGAGATGGAGGCCGGCTCTGTCTGCACGCTCCGGGAGCTGATTCTGTGGCAGCCCAGCAGGACTCAGACTCCTGGAGACCACTCCTGCCGGCCACCCACTAGGCAATGGTGGATTGGGAAGGCTGTGGGGTGGGGTGCTGGCTGGGGCGCAGGCGGCAGCCCTGCTTTTTCCTCCAAGTGAGCACATTGCCCCCCAAATCCTAGGATCAAATGGAAGCTGAGATTCTAGAGAGCACAGAGCTTTTCCTTTTCTTTTTTAAAGAGACAGAGTCTCACTCTGTCACCCAGGTTGCAGGAGTGCAGTGGCTCAATCATGGCTCACTGCAACCTTGAACTCCTGGGTTCAAGCCATCCTCCTACTTCAGCCTTTCTAGTAGCTGGGACTGCAGGTGCACACCACCAAACCCAGCAAATCTTTTTATTTTTTGTAGAGACAGAGTCTCAGTACATTGCCCAGGCTGGCCTCAAACTCCTGGGCTCAAGTGAGTTGCCTGCCTTGGCCTCCCAAAGTGCTGGGATTATACACATGAGCCACCGCACCTGGCCAGGGACTTTTCAAAGGATGCTTCCCCAAAGCAAGTGAGCTGGAAGAACCTAGAGAGGGGCTGGCCTGCCTCCAGCTCTCTGCTGAGCAGAAGCCCAGGAGAGAGGCTGAATGACCTTCTGAGAGCTACAGATCCAGGGAGGGGCTGAGGCAGATGGGACCCACATCCGCTTACTCAGAGTCCCCTGCTCTCATGGGAGCACACCTCACTGGACGTGGGTAGAGTCTCTGTCTTGTCAAACTCAATGTATGTCAATGTTCACATTAAAAAAGAAGTCTTGATGCTGTGAGTCTTTATGTATGAATAGGGCAAAATAGGGTCTAGCTTATAAAGAAGGAAATCGCATTGATGGTGAACCTATTGCCTGTCTGGTACTATGTGGAGCATTTTCCATGACTTCTGATATGATCCTAATGACACACAATGGAGGCATCTGCCCTTGCTCCTATTTACTGGTGAAGAAACCAAAGCTTACAAAAGTCAGTTACTTCAGAGCCACTCGGAAAGTAAGAAGAATGGAGGCAGGTCTGTTGCTGTCTTTGGCTGAGTTTAAGATCCCTGTCCTCTGGGAGCTTCCATGTTTAGGAGGGGAGACTAAACAGGAATTTCATTTCCCCAGTCCCTCCTTGGTCATTCCTGTACTTACCCTGCAAATTCTTACTGAGCAGGCACTCTATGCCAGGCACTCTTCTAGCCTCCAGGGATATAAGATATAACTAAGTACATATAACAAATAAATCTAAAATATACATAAATAAAACCATAGGTTTGGCCAGGCGTGGTGGCTCACGCCTGTAATCCCAGCACTTTGGGAAGCTGAGGCTGGTGGGTCATGAGGTCAGGAGCTCAAGACCAGCTTGGCCAAGATGGTGAAATCCCGTCCCTACTAAAAATACAAAAATTAGCTGGGCGTAGCGGCGGGCACCTGTAATCCCAGCTACTTGGAAGGCTGAGGCAGAGAATTGCTTGAACCCGGGAGGTGGAGGTTGCAGTGAGCCGAGATCGTGCCACTGCACTCCAGCCTGGGTGACAGAGCGAGACTCCATCTCAAAACAAAACAAAACAAACAAAACAAAACAAAACAAACAAACAAAAAACACCATAGGTTTAACTGAATGAGCTTGCCAATATTCTCCCATTTTGACCTACAAGAATGGTCATTTCATACAATACAACATAATAAGTCAAATATGCAGATGGTAATAAGGGCTCTGAAGAAATGTAGGGTGAGTTAGGGAGTCCAGGGCTAGAAGGGGGTCTTTCTAGCATGCTTGCCTGACCATGTCACACCCATCATCTCCATCACAAGCTCCCAGTTGTGAGGAAGGAGCCCCAAGTCCTTCCTGGGTCTTCCAGGCCCCTCGTGCTCTGGCCAATTGACCTGTGTTCCTCAGTCAGGTCCTGGGCTCCCAGAACACAGCCTGCTCTGTCTGAAGGCAGTGGGCTATGCCGGAGTCACCCTTGTGCCATTGTCTGCCGGCTCTTCAGGCCAAGCTGGGGTGTCAGCATCTCAGAAGCGCCTTCTTGAACCTTGCCTGTCCTCCCTCTCCTAGACAGTTTTAATTGCTCCCTCTCTGCATTCACACACACTTTATTACGGCACTTAGAACTGCTCTTCCCTTTAGAAGATGCCGTGATTTATTCATGGGCCTTATTAATGGTCATATTCCCAGTGGCTGGTGCGGTGCCTGGCATGCAACAAGGTGCAGGAGAGGTGTGATGAGTGAAAGGAGCGAGAGATGCTGAATGGGAGATGCAGGGAACAGACAAGCAGGAAAGTGGGGACTTAATGGAGAGGGTCAATGAGGCTGCCCTTGAGGATGGGGCATCACTCAAGGGAGAGAGGAGGTGGGGCCTGTGCTGGGCCTGCCCACAGCTGCCCACATTGCACACCTGCCCACGCCTGCCATGCCTGCACATGCTTGATCTGCCCACACCTGCTCACACCTGCTCACACTTGCCCACACCTGCTCACACTTGCCTACACCTGCTGTGCCTGCCCACACCTGCCCACACCTGCCATGTCTGGCCTGCCCACACCTGCCCTCACCTGCCCATGCCAAGCCTGCCCATACCTGTCCACACCTGCCCATGTCTGCCTATGCTTCCTATGCTGGACTTGTTTGTCCTACTGTCTTGAAGGCTCTGTGCTCACCTCCCTCCCTGCCTCTTCCCAGAGCTATCCCTAAGCGTCCTTCAGGGAGGCCTCTCCCAGTGCCTTGGATCGGGGAGCTTGTCCTGGAACGTGCTCATGGCCCAGCTCTTCTCCCCACAACCTCTTCCCAGCTGGATGTCTGCTGGGCAGTGGGTGCAGTGGCTGAGCTGATGAGTTTTGGATCAGACTACTTGTGTTTGAAGCCTGGCTGTGATCTTGGGCAAGTTGCTTGTCTTTTGTGTCATTCCTCAGTCATCCCCTATAAAATGGGGATACTCACTGTCCTGACTGCATCAGGCACCGGGAAACTGGCAGGAACTAACACACATGGCGTGACAGCCCAGAGCCAGGCATAGAGTAAGTGTGCGGCTTGTGCTGGTTCTCAGTCAGCCATGTTTGGCTGTTGGCTGAGCAGAGAGGAGACCAGTGTGACAGAACCCAGGGGACAGTCTAGATCACTAGGAGCTTGAGTGTTAGGGAGAGGCCAAGCCCTCATCTTCTGCAAGATAAAGCCCAATCTCTATCCCACAAACATTGGTGAGTGACTCTCTGCCCAGCAGGGAGCAAGGTTGCTAGAGAGACCAGAGATGCCTGGAGCCCACTTCTGGCCTCTTGCCGAAGTGCTTCTCTCTGTGAGATTACATATTCTGGGCCACATCCCTTCCATCCCCACTTACTCCCTCACTTCACTCCTTTCCTTACTCCTCCATCATAAAAGTCTCCAGAAACAGGTTTTGTTCAAAGTGAATGAGGCAATAAATTCTCTGTTTCTGACAGGCCGACAAGGGAGATAAATTCCGTAATGGGAGCTGCGGCCCTGCTCTCCTGTCCTGGTGGAGCTTTGGCTGATGGAAAGGTCTGTCCAGGGAAGGGGGTTGGGGTGGGCGGAGAAGGAGAGGGAGGCTCTGGGAGGTCCCTGGGCTACTAAGTCCTGGTGGGATTTCAGTTCTATTAATTTGCTCAATTTGCTCAGTTCTGACTTGGGTATTTGGCTAACTGACAAGCTGTGCAGGACAAGTCTCATTCATTCATTCATTCATTTCAATCAATCAACCAACCAATCACCTATCGCTCAATTCATTCAGCAGTCACCTGACATGGAGGAGAGGCATCTAATTCCTTTCAAGTATCACTTTCTTTAGGAAGCCTTACACAAAGGACCAAAAATATTTGCAACTTAAGCCATAGCAAAAGATTGATTTCCCTGGTAAATAAAGAGCTCCTACAAATCATTAAGAATAAAGATAAACAACCTAATAGGAATACAGGCAAGGGATATGAACAAATAGCTCACAAAAAAGGAATTCAGATGGCTCTCAAACTAATCATGTGTGAAAAAAGGCTCCCTCTCACTCATGATGACAGAAGTGTCCGTGGAAATGTCACAAAGATGCTGCCCCCCACCCCAGATTGCTCACGATTATGTTGCTAAGTGTGTGGGACAGACACATATTGCTGGAGGGTGGATGGAGTGTGCAGTGGTGTAAATACTATGGGGACCAATGGGACCCAGCCTGTCTGGAGGGTGATCTGGCAATATCTTGGCACTACGTGTGTCCCAGCTTCTCTACCCAGCAAATCTGCCTCTAGAAATGTATCTCACTTCTACATGTACAAGATTACTGTACAGGTGCAAGATTATTACATGAAGCATTCTCTGTATCACCAAAGATTGGGAATAGCTTAAATATCACTAGGGGGTTGGCTAAATAATTTATGGTGGATCTGTACAATTGAACACTATGCAGTCATTAAACAAAAAGGTAATGGGAGGTGTCTCTATGCACTAATATGCATGCACTGAGCTCCAATATGTATTTTTAAGTGAAAAGGACAAGGCACGCAATGAGATGGAATTCAAATTCTTCTATTATTTGTATAAAAGTGGAGAAAATGAAGATATATGTATACACATGTATAGGCTTCTATATGATTCCTCTGGAAGGATGAAGACCTGTGAACAATGGCTGCTTCTGGGGAGCAAAGCTAGACCTGGGAGGCTGAGAGGCATGGGAGGAGGGGACACCTCACTATATACCTCTTTGTGCCTTTTGGATTTTGAATATTGTGAATGTTCTGCCTATTCAAAAAAAATTTCATTAACGTTTCAAAAAGGAGAGAATCAAAGGCAAAGCCTTCCTTGGCTCTTTTAGCTGGGGCCAGAGGCTGGGAACTAAGCAGATGAGGAATGGGGGAAGGGCTTACAGGGCGGGAGGGTAAGCACCTGCAGGGATGGTGCCCAGAGGAAAGCATCGACCCCGTGACTGGGTGTAGTTGGAGCACAGTTTGGGGGAGCCTTGGTAAGAATGTAGTTGGTGAGAAATACAGGGGAAGTATCGTGTTAAAGAGTTTGGATTTCATTGCAATGAGAGGCCATTGGGATTTTAAGTAGGGACTGGACATGGTCAGGCTACATTTAAGGAAGAACTCCTGGAAGCAGTGTGGGGAGTGGTTTGGGAACTATGAATGTGCTTGATTTTCCACCTTGCCTTTACTGACATTTGCTCATTTCATCTTCAATAATTCTAATAGGTAGGTAAAAGTTATTACATAGGGGGAAACTGAGGCTCAGAAAAGTTATGTAATGGTTGAAGCTCTCAAAGTTTGGATATCAGGATTTCAACTCAGGTCTGCTTGTCTCCTGAGCCTGAGCTCTGAATATAGCCCTGTGATGTGGGGCCTTTTAGTCACACTGCCCTATATGTGCTTACAGGTCTGTGAGAATTGTGAATCCAGTGGCCAAGTGTTGTGTCCCTTTAACTTCAAGTATATGGCCAATTAGGACAATGGATGCAACCATAAAATTTGATTATATCAGCCAGCTCCCACCAACTCACTGCAAACCTCTGCCTGCTCCTTCACCAAGAGAGCTGGGGTCACTGCATACATCTCCGAAATTTATTCATTGGAATAGAAGCAGCAAACTTCCTTATGACCTGTTTTCCTCTTCTAAGCACATATCAGAGATCACTGGCAGACTTCTAACGGCTGTAGCAGGAAGAGTTAGCAGGAGGTTTCCTCTTGCTGGGGTCCAGGGGTGATACATTTGGCTCCAATTACATCCAGCCTTCTCAATTTCCTGGTCATTTGGTTTGCATTTTCCTGTCATTTCTTCACGTGCATTTTTCTATGACTCCCATTTTATAACTGTGAAAACTGAGAGTTGCACAGGCAGCAATTCACCAAAGGCCACCTGGTTTGTCAATGGTAGAATCAGGTGTTAAACCCTAGCTAGGACTCCATGTCTTTCTTCCACAGCATACTTCCTTTTCTCACCATGAGTATGGGTTTATTTGATTTTTCATGAAAAAATCCATACAGGGCTTATGATTTCTGGGTTCTTCTTGTTACGTTGCTGATGTTTTCACTGTTTGTGTCCAGGTGTCAGACCTATCAGACGCAGGGCCTTGGGGCTTCACAGGAGCCTCCTGGAGGGTGGGTCCTGGTAGCCAAGGCAGGATAATGGTCAGCTCAGGAACAAGGCCCTGCTGGTGCCTCTGTTGTGAAGGGTATCCTTCAGCTAGTTTAATTAAGAGCTGGGGGTGGGGTGCGCCAAAGAGAAGAAGGGTGCATTGTGTGGCAGGGAGCTGATGAGGTCAGCAGAGGGGGGTTGGGAGGGCCCGGGAACCAGAGGATGCTCTATCTACCTCTGGGGGTGGCCCACACTCCCAGCGCCAGCAGGTCCCCGCAGACAGGCTATGGCAGGATTGACTTCTAGGTCAGCTGCCTCCGCAAATGCTGTGACTCTCGCTGGCTAAGAATGGAATGGATTGGAATGGAATGGAATGGAAGGTCTTGAGGCTCCCTCTAAGCTCCCTCGGGCTCCTCCTAACTTTTCCCAGAGCCTGTCACCAGGGGTCACAGCTCAGTTCAACCACTCATTCACCCTGTGACCTTGGGTAACTCACATGTTTTCTGAGTCTTATTTTTTTTCACATGCAAAGTAGGAGTAAATAATGCTTATGTTTCCTGCTTCCAAAGTGCTTTGGGGAGGACCAACTGGATAAGGGGGTGAGATGCAGTTTGGAAACTGTAAAGCACTGTACAAGTGCATGCATTGACACTGCTCAAAACATAGCCATCCCTGCCCTGAATAAATCCCACCCTGAACACCATGGCTTTGCCCCGAACATCTTCTACCTCCCTTTTCCTTATGGTAATAGTAGGGTCATTTCGATGTGTTTAAAACTTCTTTAACTGAAAATACCTTATTTTTTTAAATTCCGAAAGTAACACAGGTTCATTATAAAACATTCAGGAAATACTTTGTTTTTTGAAAAATAATAGATATTTCTACCTTTGAGATTGTCACCCTGTGATTTTGGGAACACCAATTCACTTCTCTGGGTTTGATTTCCCCACCACTAGATTGAGGCTGACAAATGTGTAATGGAAGTCACTGCCTCCATTGCATCCAGCAGGCATCATTGGAGGACCATGACATTTTTTCCCAATGTGCCGGGATGTGACTCCAGAACCCTGCTCAACACAGCCTGCAGGCAGCCACTGGTGATCTATCAGAGTGGCTGGGAGAAGAGAGCTCTTGTGCACTGATGAGGGGGTGAGCGCTGATGTTTTCTGATTGCTTGGGTGAGAGGAGCCCAGGGTTCCAGGTTCCGGTGAAGAGCTTGGAGAGTCCCTCAACCTGTCCCATTACAGTAGGGAGTTTCCTCTTATCCGATTCAGGCATCACAAGCATTGTGTGGTGGATAATGGCCTCCCCTGGGGAGTTCCCTGAAAATTTTCAAGAAATTAAAAAAAAAATCTTGCAAAGTCAATGGAATGCAAGCAAGCGACTTAATAAATTCACACCCACACAAATGCTTGTGCTTCTTCATCTCAGCATGAAACTGGGTGGGGTGGAATATTTTTGAGGCTCTCACTTCCAAAGAGAGTCCGGTGTGGGGAAGGGAACAGATACCACTGAGAACCACTTTAAGGAGCTGTATTTCCCACATCCGTGGAATGCAAATTATCACAACCAACCATTTCACAGATGAGGAACCTGAGAGCTGGAGAACAGAAGTCAGTTGTCTGAGGTCATCTGGTTTGTAAGTGATAGAGCAAGGACCTGAACCCAGCTTCGGAGGGCCTTGCTTTTCCAGTGAACCCACACAACCTGCCAAGCAAAAGTCCCTACAATTTGGAATAGTTCTGTGAGGTAAAGGGTGTTTCCTTGTCTTCGGTGTTGGAAAAAAATGTAATCTCAGTATTATCACCCAGTGCCACCTCCGTGTGCCCATCCCTGAGGTGGACGTCAGACCTTCCCTCTTTGATGTACTCTCAGCTGTTGAGGTAGGAGCCAGGAAGGGCAGGAAGCCAGGAAGCTGGATTCTGGTCCAGCTAGGAGGAGCTGCTGCCCTCTGGACTTGAGTTCCTTCGTGAAGCAGCAAGGGAACACATTGGCAGCCCGGGCATGGTGGCTGAGTATGGTTTCTGGAACCAGACTGCCTGGGTTCAGTCTCCGGCTTTGCCTCATGTTAGCTGTGCAACCTTTGACCTCTCTGTGCCTCTGTTTCCTCATCTGTTAAATGAGAACACAGATACACCCTACTTCACAGGGTTGCTGTGAGGATTGAATGAGTTCATCCACAGGGAGCAACTAGAGCGGCATTGGTCTTTTGTGAGCACGCAGTACTCACTATGTACCCTGAGAAAGGAGCCAGAATCCTAGGGCTTGGAGCCATGCAAAGAGAAGTGGGGAGCGACTTGGCAAGGCGCTTGCAAGGCCCTTGCAGATTTCGCTGTGGCATACCCAGCTGGGGTAACCCCTTTAGTCTGGGGTAACCCCTTTAGTCTGGGGCTCTCTTCAGAGAAGCCGCAGAGTTTCATTCTAATATTTTGGCCCAAGTTCAACAACAAAAGCTCCTCTTCCAGGAAGCCCTCCTGGATGGGTGGACCAGTCTGCTCACTCCCTGCTACGGCTCCCAGCCCCCGCTGCTGATGCCACCCTTTGGCCTCAGACAAAGCGGGCACCAGCAGCGGCAGCAGCCGGGCCGGCTCGGTGGCTTTCATGAAGCTTGAGCTCCCGGGAGTCCAGGCTGGGCTGGTCTGCTTTGAATGCTATTTGCATTGCAATAGGCGAGCCTGGCCTTCAATACAGGCCCCTTCTCTTTTGACAGAACAGTCTCACAATCGCCTATTGACCGGGCACCTGTTCCTGCCCCAGACATTATGCAAATGCCGGCCAGGAGCGAAGCCGCCAGCCCCCCGGGCCATTGTGCATTGAACCCTGATGGCGCCCTGCCAACTCCCAGCCGGCCTTTGTTCCCTGGTTGCACTGCGCCACCCCCACCACTGCCTCCCGCCCGCCCGAGGTGCCCCGCCGAGGAGCTGCCCGCTGACAGCTACTTGGGTCCTTGCACCTGAAGAAAGGCCCTGTGGGCTGGAGGCTGAGCCCATGCTGAGGTTGGGCTTGGGCCTCCCAGGAGGCAGCTGGGCCCTTCATGTCCCCGGGGACCGCTGAGAGGGGCCTGGCAGGCGGAGGAGGGGGCAACCCGGACCATGCCATCTGGGGGAGGGGAGATTATAATAATCACTCTCACACATCTGCTGAGGGCCTTCCAGCCTGCAAAACCCTCTCGTGGCCGTTCTCCCTGCGAGGCACACCTGCCTCTCGAGGAGGTGGGCTGGGCATGGAGATTGTGTGCCTTTCACACAGGAGGGGACTTCGGTGCCCTGGGAAGGAGCTGGCTGATGTGGGGAAGAGAGTCAGGGCAGGGTGGGGGCTCACACCTGGGGCTGCCGGTGTCTCCGTCTCCCAGCCTTTGGACACTGTCCCTCCTAGTGGCTGTGACTCCTCTGAGCCACCATTGAATGCCCTGCACAGCATGGCTCCAGCCCTCTTCTCGTCCTAGTTTCTTCATCCTCCTCCTACTCTTGGCTTCACCGTCATTCAGACCAGATGGGGTTTCAAGGTGTGGTCCCAGGACCAGCAGCATCAGCATCACCCAGCACCATTTGGGGATGCCTGTCCCTGGGCCCCAGCACAGACCTGTTGAATCAGGAGCATGGGGTGGGCCCAGCTCTTTGAGCTTGGATGCACCTCCAGGTGTTCTGATGTGTGAGCAAGTGTGAGTATCCCCGACCTGGACCCTCTTCTCCATGCAAGCCTTGGTTGATGCGGTCACCCCCTACCCCTCTGCTTGCTTCTCTTCTCCTGACCACCCTTCCCACCCTCCTTCGGCTGGGCTTGTGAACATGACTGAGCCCCTGGCTGGTCCCAGGCTTAGGGCACTCCCATGAATGAGGCACATTTTGAAGAAACTCAGTCTAGTGAGGGCACAGCCAGCGCTGCCATTCTGTTCTTTCAAAGCAGAGGCTGCTGCTTTGATAGAGGGAAGTGAGGAGCGGGAGCAGGGGTGGATAGTGCACAGAGAAGGGGCACCCCACAGCCTGGGGGAATCCAGGGAGAATTCCTGGGAGAGATGGTGCCGTCACTGTACCTTCAAGGAGGAGTACGAGTATACATTAATGAATAACTCAAATAATTTTCAAATAAAAGACTATATATAGTGTGCAGCAACTGTGGGCCCAAGACCTCAGGGGAGGCCCCTGCTATGTGTGTGTGCTGCAGGTAAGTCCAGCTGCAGCGGTGGAGGAGAAAGGAGGAGAAAAAGTGATGCTGAGGCCACTAGCATGGCCCGGATGTCTTTTCACAATTTGCATGTGCTCCCATTCCAAGTGATTCAATGGAGAATCCCTGGCTACTGAGCATCCAGAAGGAGTTCCATCCTCCAAGAAGCAGGATGGGTGGGGGCTGCCATGACATCCTGGAGGTGGGGTCCCAGCATGTGAAGCCTGCTCCCGCAGGGGCACGTTTCAAACATCCTCAACAATGGAGCATTCCCACTGCTGTGGCCCCCAACCCACAGCTGTAACAACAGATGTCTTCTGCAGGGTGGTCCCCTTGGTCCCCAACTCACCCTTTACCCAGGTTGGCCACCTCTGCTCCGTATCCTTGCTCCAAAGGAGCCACCAGGTTAGGGCATAAGAGCAGGAGCTGAGCAGAGGACCAGCATGACCCTGGACACCGTCCAACATGCCCCTGCCAGCCCTTTGGCCTTGACAATCTTTCACCCGATGCCAAAGTGCTTTAAAGAGTTTGGCCCAAAGCAGGGAAATCTGATCTCATGAGAGGCCGGGGCAAGGTTTTCAGAGCCAAGTGTTGGGCTGGTCTCACGATTTGTCTTCCTCAAGTGCCGTCAGAGTGCTCCTTGCCCAAAAGACAAATCTAGAAGAAAAGTAAATAAAGTCAGCCTCCCTCAAACCACATTCTTTAGTGTGGCATTGAAGGCCCTTTAGGATCTGGCCCCAGTGCCTCTCCAGCATGCCCTGCCCTGGCCTCACCACTTTCTCATTCTGCCACACCTCCCAGGCTCTGACCCACTGGTTTCTGTCCCTGTGGAACGAAGCAGGGGCGTCATTTCCACACTCCATTCCTCTGGGTCCACTGGATTAACTTCTACTCAGGCTTGCAGACACCCCCCAGATGTCTCCTCCATTATGAAGACTTCCTAATCTATTCTATTTAAGAAAAATTTAAGCAGCACCTACCAGGCCCCAATATACTGGGCTTTGGGATGTGCTGCTGAGAGAGAAAGTGCCCTCTCTCAAGGAATCCCCAGTCTAGGGAGGAAAGAGGCCAGTGTATGAGGAGGCCTAAATGAGGGTTTAGGTGGGCATGAAGAAGGAGGGATAAAGAGAATTTAGGAAAATGGGTGGACCCCAATTAGAGGCCAGTTCAGTGAGGAGTGGTTTAAGACAAGGGGGAAGCCAAGTTTCTGGATGTGTGGGTGGTAGAGTCACCACTGAGGTGGAGAAGGTAGAGAGACAGGTTGGGATCAGATGGTAAGAGGATGAGCCAGGCTGGAGGTGCCCATGCACCAGTGGAAGGAGATGCCCACTAGGAGTGAGAGGACAGGTCTGGCATTCAGGAAGGGTGTGGGCTGGCATTGACTGCCCGGCACTAAGGCCTTGAGGTGGCAGTGGGGACTTGGGCGGGCCTTCCTGACCCCCGGGCAGGACTCACAGGCAATGTCTGCTCACCCTTTGTGCTCCCCATGTTGCATCGTCTCTGTCCTCACGGCACTGGTCACACCGTGTCATGCTCTGCCTGCCCCACTGGCATCAGGAGCCCCGGGGGAGCAGGGCTGCAAAGCCATGGTCTCTCAATGACTGGGGTCTAGTGGCTTGAGGATGCCTTGGTTCCTTTGCAGGCTCATCTTGCTTGACTCACATCTCTGCCTGTACCTTTGAGGAAATCTTTAAGAATGGCATCTAGAAAGAAAGGGACCTCTAATAAGACACATGCTGCCAGTGCCATGGTCCCCCAGCAAATCGACAGCATGCTGGGACCAGAACTGCACCGAGTGGAAGGCCATGCCATCCCCATCTCACAGAGGAGGAAACTGAGGCTCAGGAAGAAGCAGTGATGTGAGGGCACCCATGGCACTTTAAAAGGATGAAAGAAAAAGATCTAATTTTGCAAAGGGGAAATGTGATCCCAGAGTGGGGAAGCAACTCTCCCAGGTGGGCACACTGGATGAGTGGTGGAGCTAGACAGGTGACTGTGTCCTACCTCCTGTTTCACTGCCCTCCAATGCCCTGTTCTTTCTTCTTGGAGTGGTCACATCCATCCCTGGCACATGTGGGCCTTCAGGAGAAAGAGCCCACTCAGGCCTTGGCAGATGCCAGGCCCAGACACCACACTCTGCTCAAGCACCCAGTAGAATTTTCCAGTCTCTACTTGGCATTTCACAACCATTGACTAGGGATCTGTTGTATTCCCCAAGCACGGGCTGAGAATCCACTAGGTGCCAGGCACGGATGCACTTTGGTGCAAATTATCTCATGAAGCTTCCCAGTAACTTTCCAAGGCAAAAAAGCCTCCTCGCCCTTTACCAGATGTGGAAACTGAGGCTTGGATTGGTAAGCTCTAGGCTCACCCCTATTCATGGCAGGGGTGGAAGCAGGGTTTGAACCAGGGGTTTGATGTCCACTTTATTTCTCTGCCACTGAGCACAGTCTCCTAATGCCCAGCAAATCTTAAGGTGTTGATGGCTTTTATTCCTCAGGGGCTCAGGGGACTGTCTGGATACCTCTCCTTCTTCTTGGGCCCATGGCTCCTAGCTTAGGGAAGGGAGCACTGGGATTCCCTCAGTCCACAGTCTCACTTCTTGAGCTATGCTGTAGGGTTCTCACCCTTGAGTTTATTTCTGCCTGGCACAGGTGAGAGGAAGCAGCACTGAACTTGGAGCCTCAGACTTAGGTCCAGCTCTGCCACCATGTCACTGAGGGACCCTGGCAAGGCCCTTCTCCACTCTGTGGTCCCAGTTTCCTCATTTGCTCAATATTGGGTGGCATTTTATATTTGCAACAGTCACTTTCAGCTCTGGATGCCTCCTCCTTCTGTAAGCTGGCCGTCCATGGCTGCAGAAAATGACTTTCTCTCTGCAGATTTTGTAAAACGTTCCTTGGGAATTGTGATTCAGGCTGCTCCTTTCCCTGGTCCCCAGCCCTTGATTTACAATCCAGATAAATTGTATTTTCTTTGTAACTCCAGAGTAGGGTGGAGGATAATGGAGCTGGAGCCCCTTCCCTCAGCTGCCACAAGATAAAACTGCCTGGCTGAATGGGCTCTCGTAAGACCCTTCGAAGGTGGCTTAGAGCCAAGAGGGGACCTGTGGGCTCACAGCCACACTGGCCTTTGTCCCTCGAGGGCTTGTCCCCTCCCCTTGCAAGGCGTACACATTTTCTATGGTTCCCGAGTTGCCCTTTCCCTCTGGCTGGCCTGTCAGCTTCTCTTGTCAGCTCTGAAGCCCCCAGTTCTCCTTGGGGGTATGTTTGCTTAGCTTTTATATCCAGACCTAAGCTGCATTACTGAAGGCCTACTACGTGTGTCAGGCCCTGGGCCAAGTCCTTTTTATGCTTAAAAAGAAATCTTTCTCCTTCTCTCTTAATCCTCTCTTTTTCCACTGTGGGGCTGATTTATCCTTCCATTTTCCAAGGGAAGAAACTGAGGCTCGGTGGGCTGTGAACCTGAGTGACAGAGCTAAGACTAGGCACAGACCCACTGCCTTCTTCCCTTGTCACTCTGACAGTCTCCTTCTAATCCTGAAAAACGAGGGCCCCCGAATGATTTCCGTGACAGCTACTGGGCTGTTGTTGACTTCAACCACCCATGTCTGAAATATTTTTCTCAGTTTCTCAGCACCTGGGAAGGTGATGATCCCACAGTGGAGCAGCAGAAAAAGCTGTTCCCTGCTATGGCACAAATGCAACTCATTGCCCCAGTTTGAAGGACAACATTGGTTGCAGCCTTTATGTCTGGCTATGGTGCTCAGGGGATATTCCGGAAGCGGTGTTTGAACCCTGGACCTATATGTATATCTGTGGGACTCTGGGTCAGTTTCCAAGTCTCTCCATGCCTCAGCTTTCGCCTCTGTCAGACAAAGCCAACACTAGTGCCCACCGCTCAGGGTTGCTGTGAGGATTGAATATATGATGTATATAAAATGCTTCAAACGGGTTCTGGCGCATTGTAAGCATTAACTAGTGGAGGTAGATATACCGGAGTGCACTGGGGCTGAGGAGAGAGGACTGGCTTTTATTTTTCTCCTGCTGCCAGGCTCAGGGCCTGGGGCCCAGGTGGGGAGCTATGGTCTGGGGGCCTGCCTGTCCCACTTTTCCGTTCCTCTCAGTCCTGCATGGCTGTCTCTGACAGCACAAGGAGAGGAAGGAGAACCATTCCTGTGTCCTTGGTTCCCAGGAACCAGATAGAGAATCCACGTGACACCCTGAAAATTCTGCACTGTTGTTAGCCAGATCTGGTGCTCAGTGCAGCTCTTGCTGCAATGAATTCCAAATGGCACAGAGAGGCCTTGATGCTCAGGAGCAGCTCGGTGTGTGGGGACTGTGCCTTGAGCTGGCATGAGAAGCCGCAGGAGCACTGCGGCCTGCGGGGCCCACGGCTGCCGGTCCCTGCTTGCTCCACTCCTGGCCTGGCCTCTGGCACATGGTGGGGTTGTGCTCTCTGGGAAGCCAGCAGTGCAAATAACAGAGCAGAAATGTATCTGGGGGGCCCCAGCCTTGTCTGATACGCTCTCCTCTCGCTCCTCATGGCCAGAACTGAGCCCTAGAAAGCTAGGTCAGGCAGGACCCCAAGGGCAGCCAGCACCTCGGCTTGTGTCCCCTCCTGCATGGAGCAGCCTTCTTCCCTATTTTCTGCCTTCAACCAGCCTTTCCTGATCCCATCCATTGTGGCTAGGGGGCCTGCTGTGTTGAAGCCGTCACTGTCTCTGACCTCTGGTTCTTATTCTCTAGGGGAAGGCACTAGCCACACATGATGCAGCATGAGATGGGCTGTGGGCAGGAGCCTCCCTGGGCTGGATGTGCATGGGGTGCCCGGGAGGGCTTTCTGACAGGGAGGTGGGAGCTTGAATGGGATGGACAAATAAGAGTCAGCCAGGCAAACATGGCAGGGAGATAGTGTCCCAGGCCAAAAGGGCAGGGCCTGCAAGGCCAGAGAGTTGGGGCAGGGGTGGGCAGAGAGAGAGAAAGTGGAGAGGAGGAGGAGAAGAAAGAGGAAGAGGAGGAGGGAGAAAAAGAAGGAGAAGGAGAAGAAGGAGGAGAAGGAGGAGGAGGAGAGAAGCAGGAGAAGGAGAAGTGGCAGTAGCAGGCATTCCCCCCTGGCTGGGCATCATGTGTGGGGGTGTGGGTGGTGAAGATACCCTGGACTGGGGGTCAAGATGGGGGAAGATGAGTCTTGGTAGCCACACTATGGAGGTGAGATTCTACCTGGGGGCTGTGGAAGCCTGGTAAGGGTTTGTGTTAGGTGAGCAGAGTGAACTTATTCCTGCTTCCTGAGCATCATTCTGTCTTCTGTGTGGGAAGCAGTGAGGAGAAGGGAGCAAGGCTGGATGCCGGGGCGCATCTCAGAAATGCTGTTGTCAACAGGCAGGAGGGGATGCAGAGTTGGCCCAGGATGGTGGCTGTGTGGAGGGAAGGGGACAGGTAGATTTAAGAGTCATTGAAGCTTTGTGATTGAGTGAATGTGTTAACAGTGGAAAAAAGAGGGAAGGCTCAGGAGTGACACCTCTCTGCAGTACTCCTGCCAAGATTTGCAGTTGCACTTTGCATGCCTCCAGTGACAGGCAGCTCACTACCTGCTGTTTAGAAAGGTAATACTTCTGTTTAAATCTGTCTACATGTGAGTCTTAAGGCTGCAAAAATGAACATACCTCTTCTTTCATCATAGCCTTCTCGGAGTTTGAAGGCTATATAGTCATACACACCTGTTTTTTCTTGGCCATCATCATGCTTTGTTGTTGTTGTTAAGTGACTGTCCTCAGATTTCTCCATCAAGTTTGGACATATTATTATAGTCTATTTTATTTTTTAGTAAATCATACCAAATAGTACATTTACAAAGAGAATGACAAGAGCTATGTTGAGTAGAATAGCCTCATCACCCTACTCAGAGGATTCTCTTCTGGGAGACGATTCTAAAAGGAAGTTCAAATTATAATTAGATAGTCACTTGGTGAGCATGAGAACAGAGGCAGGAGAGCAAGCTCACTGATGTCAGGATGCTCAGAAAGTAAGGCCCATTGGAGGTGGCTTTCCTGGGACTTGGTCCAGAACCTGGCTTAGGGGTAAAGGTGTTTTGAAAGCCACTGATGACTCCAGGTTGCTGGCAGGGGTGCTGATGGGTGGTGGTGGTCTCTGTTTCCCAAGAGGCATCTAGGAGGGAAAGCAGGTCAGAAGTGGGTGGCAGAAGGAGATGCTGAGCTTGGGCGGGACATGAGGTGTTGGAGGTGGCTGTGATGCCCGAGGAACTACTCAGCAGGTGCACCTCCGTGCTCGGAAGCACCACCTCCCCAGTGACTGTGCAGATCCCTCCCAGGCTGCAGGGCAGCTGGCTGCACTCCAGGCCTAGGACAAAGGATCCCCGTTGCACTCCGTTGTGGGCTGCTTTGTGCAGAGGGCTTGGGGCACTCATCAGCACTGCCTGGGACCTCCTGCCGCTCGCCATTCCACAGGGCCAGGCTACGGTCCCGAGAGACTCACTTCCAGAAATCACCAGGCCTCAGGTTACCGGCACAGCCTAGGACTGCGGTGCTGCCCCTCCTGGAGTCAGCTTGGCTGATCTGGAAAAATCTGGGTCAGAGCAAGCCCAGAAAAGTTCAGGGTTCAGGGAGCTCATTGTAGCCACATAAGTTGGTGGCTGAGCAGTGCCGGGCACTGTGTGAGGCTGGAACACACAGTGCACAGATGCCCCAATCAATACTTGCTGATGCTCCTGTCGGGAAGATGGCCCTGACAGCTGTGTGACCTTAGATGAGCTCTTGAGCTCTCTGAGCCTCTCTTTCTTCATGCATCCAGATAGAAGTAATAGCTCTTGCCTTTCCCCACTCTGCCTCCTTCACAGAGTCTCTGTCAAGAGCAAACGAGGTAATAAACACGAAAGTGAGCTCTCAGCTGCATAGGCAACACCAAGTGAGAGGTAAACAAACACCCGTGGGTGAACAAAAACACACACTGGAGGGCAAAGTGGGGCAGCTCATTCACCAGGCTGCCTGTCCGGGCCTCCTGCACCATGGAGGGCTGTTCTGAAAGTGGGCTGGGCTGAGAGATGGGAGCAGGAACTGTAGGTAGGAGGGAGAAATGGGCAAGATGGGGAAGGTGAACTACACACATGCATGCACACACACACACACACACACACACACAAACACATCACACCCGATGTGGGGGGTAAGAGAGAGACAGAGACAGACACATAAAGACAAAGTCCTGAGCAACGTACACAGAGGGGAAGCCCTGACACCACATACCATGCAGACAGAGACAGAGGTGGAGGGAGAGAGAGATGAGAGAGACAGAGACAGAGAGGCACGGAGAGAGGGAGGCAGAGAGAGAGATACAGAGAAATCGTGATTCGGAGAGGAAGACAGAGACAAAGACAGAGGCATTGAGCCTGACAGCTAGACACATAGGAAAAGAGGGAGAGGGAAGCAGAGTGAGAAAAACTGAGAGAGCAGAGGAGATTCTGGGAGAGGAAGGGGACAGGGAGAATTGGGGGAAATCAAGAAGTGATAGAAAAAGAAAAGAAGACGGGCCGGATGCGGTGGCTCACGCCTGTAATCCCAGCACATTAGGAGGCCGAGATGGGCTGATCACTAGAGGTCAGGTGTTCAAGACTAGCCTTTCCAACATGGTGAAACCCTGTCTCTACTAAAAACACAAAAAATTAGCCAGGCATGGTGGTGCGTGCCTGTAATCCCAGCTACTCAGGAGGTTGAGGCATGAGACTTGCTTGAACCCGGGAAGCACAAGCTGCAGCGAGCCGAGATTGCGCCAATGCACTCCAGCCTGGGTGACTGAGTGAGACTTTGTCTCAAAAAAAAAAAAAAGAAAAAAAAAAGAGGATGAAAGACTGAAAGAGGTGGGGTGAGTGAGGGGAGGAGATGGAGCAGGGTCAGAGTGGGGCTGGGTGGGCATAGGATAGGGACCCAGTCTGAGAGTTTGCCCCTGCGGCTACTTGGGGCGTCTGTAGCCTCTGGCCCTCCACCCCTCGTGCTGGGTGTGCTCAGAGCAGGAAGCCGGGCTCCTAAGCCTACCTCCTGGGGAAAGAGTCCTACCTTGTCCCTGGGCCTGCTATTGTGGACATGCCCTAATCCTGCCCTCCAAAGAGGCTCAAGGAGGAGCCTCATGCTTTGAAGTGAAGAGGCAGGCTCTGGCCCTGGTGGAGCCTCCTCAGAGGTGGGCCTGAGAGCTGAGTTTGTCTGGAGTGGGCCATTCCCTGGATCACACCAGCTACGGGCCTTCACCAAGCTCCCCTCCTAGGCCTCAGTTTCTCCTCTGCCAAATAAGTGCTATGAGGGCCCTGTGAGGCTGACACTAAGTTCAGATTTCCAGGCAGCCTGGTTTCATGCTCTGTCTCCTTAAATGAGGGCAGTCCTGGTCTTTTCCCATTTTGCTGTGATTAAGGTTCAATTTACCTGTCTTTACAGTTCTTGTTTTCTGTGCTGGTGGCCTTTGTCTACCTGTCCCAAATCCCTTGACTTGGTGTCTCTTCCCCATATTTGGCCCAAAAAAGGCTGGGACCCTTGGTGACCCTGAAGGGTAGTATCATGTTTAGAAGGGGCTGGACTCTAGGTCCCAAGACAACTACCTGGCTGTTGTCTGGGCCCTGAAGTTCTGGAGAGAAGAGTTCTTTTATTTGTAAAGGGGAGGCCCCTGCTGAGTAAAGCATCCACATCAAGTTGTGATGGGCTGGCTGGCACTCCATGCTAAGATCATGAGAGTAGAATGGGAGTAGGGTGGGTGAAGGTCACAACATCCCTCCTCCTCTGTGCTGGAGCCCCGTCCCTCCCCAAGTGGTGGTCAGACCTCTGCAGGCAGGGCTACGGGGATGTGTTGTTCTTTCTTGTCCACCCCTGTTCATACTCTAGGCCCCTCAAGATGTGGCAGTCAGTAGCAGTCCTGGCTGGAGGGAGCTGGACCCCTTGGGTGTAGGAGTGTAGGAGCTAAGCTACCCTTTTGGCTTTTGGGGAAGAACATCCCACCCTTCTTTAACAGGGAGCACAAGAGGGCACGTCTCCTGCCCAAGGTCATGCTGCAAGGTGACGTTTTCTAGAGCCAGGGTGCAAATACTGGTCATCTGACTTGAGTATGCTGAGGACAGTGGCCTGCTCCAAGGGTCTGTTTCATCAAGAAGGGATGCCTTTCCTGAGGAGTGAAACATGGAGGTACTGGGTGCAGCGAATTCTTAGAGCAGAGTGGAAGGGAGGTCTAGGCGGAAAATGATAACATTGATCTTCAGCCCCAAATCCAACTCAAAAAGCAGAATGAGCCCAAGTCAACTTCTGCTGATTTCCTCTGCCTGGTACAGAGCCTGGCACTTAGTGGGGGCACAGTAAAAGTTTGTGAGTGAGTGAATGGATTCACCCACCATCCGGATAGTCTGGACATGGCACCAAAGGTGGGGAGCTCAGGCACTGGGAGGCAGCACCGTGGCTTAGGCTTCTGGGTGCTGTGACTTCTCTGCTGTCTCCTGCAGCACAACTTGGGAGGGCCGGGTAAGAGTGGCTGTGTTTGAGGAGGAACCAGGAGAGATAGATCTTCCTTTTTTCACAGAATGGGCACTATGCTTCTTCTATCCTCTGAGTTTGGTACAGGGGAATGGCTGATTTGGATGTGGGCTGGGCTCTGGTTGAAGGATACACAGGCTGGTATTACACAGTTAAAAAGTATTCCTTCCTCATTTCCCCTGCCTCTGTTCTTGCCAGCTATCACAATTTATCAGATTCTCTTTAGGCTCCTGCCCTGTGCCAGACCAGCCCTGGGATGGGACAGTGGCAAGGCTGGTATCAAGAAGAGCAATGTTGTTCACAGACCACCATGCTCTCTGTCTAATGGTGGGAGGGGTGTTATTGTAATCATAAGATTATTGGGAGTGTTCATGTGACTGGATACTTGGGTGGGGGTTAGGGCAAGGGCTCAGGATCCCAGGTGGGGAGACTGACCCTTTCTTCCTGGAGGATCTGGGCCTTGAGGGATTAGTAGGATTCAGAAGTCAGAGAAGAGGATGGGAATTTCAGACTGAGAGAAGAGCATGTACTGAGACAGGGGAAAGATGTGATATGTTCACGAAGGTGTTGGGTGGGGCTGAGCCCTGTGTTGTTGGGATAAGGGTGGAGCCTGGTGGGAGATGAGTTTGGAGCACTAGATTGGAGTCAGATTGTAAATGGCCAAATGCTAAAATATGTGACCTTTGCTCTGAGGGGAGAGGGAAGTTACAAAGCGTAATGATCATGACTGTGTCTGGGATTCAGGAACAGCAACTATGCCAGGTAGAAGGTTGACAAGCAAGGGCATGTACAGATGATGGGAGACCTAGGAAGAGGCAGGGATAATAATAACTTGGATGAAGACAGTGATGGAAGAGGCATGGATAATAATCATATGGATGAAGATAGTGATGGTGGTGAAGATGGTGATGATGATGATGTCTATGTGATGCTAAAATGGTGGTGGTGATGATGATTGTAATGATGATAATAATGGTGATGGTGAGGATAATAATGGTGATGGTGATGATAGCAGTTATAAGGATGGTGAGATGGTGGTAAAGATGACTGTGATAATGATGTTGATGTTTGTGGTGGGAATGATAGTGGTAATAGTGGTGATGATGGCAGTGATGTTGATGATGACAGTTATGTGATGGTAATATGGTGGTGGTGATAATTATAATGATGGTGATGATCTTGATTATAATGGTGAAGGTGATGATGATAGTTACGATGGTGGGATGGTGGTGAAAATGGTTATGATGATGATATTGATGGTGGTGGTGGGAATGATGATGGTTATGTGATGGTAAGATGGTGGTGATGGTGATGGTGGTGATGATGATGGTGATGATGATAGTTATAATGATGGTGGGATGGTGGGATGGCAGTGAGGATGGTTATAATGATGATGGTGATGGTGGTGCGGGAGATGATGAGGGTTATGTTGTGATGGTAAGATGGCGGTGATGATTATAATGATGGTGGTGATGATGATGGTGATGGTTATAGTTTTAATGATGGTGGGATGGTGGTGAGAATGGTTATGATGGTGATGGTGGTGGTGGGGATGATGATGGCTATGTAATGGTAAGATGGTGGTGATGATGATGGAGATGGTGGTGATGATTGTGAGCCCCAACCAGAACAACAGAGCTGAGATGAAGAGGAAGGGCTGATTTGAAAGCATTTGATGACAGCACAGATTTGGATAGGGGCAGTTGTGAGGAAGAGACGAGCAGAGTTTCTGGTTTGGATGCCACAGTGGCTGGGGCCCATCATCCAGAGATGGGAACCCCAGGGTAGGAGCTGGCTTGTGAGGGGAGAAGTGTTTGTCTGCTTGGGCAGCTCATGTGTGAGATGCCTGCAGCCTTCTAGGGGAGGTATCCAGTGGGTAGTGAGCACTCAGGTGTGGAGCTCAGCAAGATCAAGATTGGAAAGGCACTGGCAAAGCAGTGAGTTGGTGTGTGTGGTGTGTGTGGGGCACAAATGGGAGCCGGGGTCCTTGGGACCACTTGGAATCTAACAAAAAGCAGAACTGGGGATTTCGAGGAAAGCCAGGGGTCCAAGGAAGTGCCCAGGGGCTGCTCAGGGGCCAGGGGTGGGCATTGGGGTGAGGCTTGGCTTGCTACCCCTCCTGCCCCAGAAGAGCGAACACTGGTTTTGCCTACATGCCAAGTTCTAAGTAAGATGACATTTGAAAATAGAGTTCTATGCTAAAAAGTCCCTAATACAGATGGAAGAAGCGAGGTCCAGAGAGGAGGGACCTGCCTAAGTGACTATTGTGTGGCAGCCTCGGGCCCTGCCACCACTCCCAGGCTCTGCCAGTGCATCTTGCTGCTTCCTGCATTCTTGGGTACGTGGGCTGGGGGCTGCTGAGACCTTAGCATGGGGGTTCCCTTCTCATCTCTCTCTCAACATGCCCTGCACAGCCCCCAAAGCTGTTCAGAGTAGGGTGTTGGGTGGGCGCGCCTAAAGGGGTGGGTAGGGAGCGAGGTGTGAGGAGACTCCCTGACACCCACCATTGCCCTTACCCAGTGACTGGCCTAGCCCAGGCGTGGCACCCAGTCAGCACCCAGCTGTGCTGTGGGCCCAGGCTGGCTGGAAGTAACAAGAGCCTGGCCTGTTCTCCTCTCTCCTGCTGCAGGCCTTGCACAAGGCCAAGATGTCCTTAGGAAGTGAGTTGCCTCTCTCCAGGGGATGCTTCTGGAGTCCCGTTCACAGATCCAGCCAGGATGTTTTGCAGTGAGCTTAGAGAAAGCCTTCATTCCAGGAGGAATCCGGGAGTGGAGCGCTCCGTCAGCAGGGGTCTGGGTGAGCGGGTTCAGGGCTGCCTTCTGGGATGTGGGGTTGGGAGTGGCTCTGGCTGCCTGGTAGGCCCATTCCTCAGCCCCTTTGGGACTTTGGCCTCTAAACTGTTTATCTGTCTGTCTGCCTGTCCATCTGGATTAGAGAAGCCAACTGGCTCACTCCAGTTCCCCAAACTGCCTGACTACTGCAAGGCAGTTTAAGCTTTGTTTTGTTTCATTTTATTTTTGATTAATTTTGAATGTGACTCAAAAGTGATTACTGAATGAAAAGGTGTACTTACCTCCAAGCCATGCCCCCTGCCTCTGCGAGTACATGTTTCCCTCCTGTTTTTTGTTTATTCATCCAGTTTCTATTGGCAGATAGGAGAAACTACACACCTACATTTGGATCTTCTTCATTTCTTACCCCAAAGGAAGCTTTCTGCATGCATTGCCCTGCACCTTATTTTTTCCCACTGAACAATGTTACCTGGAGATCCCTCCACACTGACAACACAGCAATCTCTGTGGTTCTCTGTTGGCAAGGGCTGTGCCATAGTTATTTCCGGCATTTGAGTTTTTAAACCCAGACACCTACAAATACCATGCCGATTCCGCAGCCAGGGCTTTCTTTGTATTTGTTTGTGGAAGCCAAAGGTGCAAGGTTCTTCCCTCCTTTTGGATGGCCCTACTGTATTCCAGTTCCTTTCCATGGTCTAATATGTGCCTTTCCTGCTACCCATGTGGCCAGCATTACTATTCACTTTTTGCATGGGAGAAAACTGAGGAAATGAGAAATCAATGAAGTTGGGGATTTGAACGCAGGTCAATCTGGGCTTAAAATCCTTCCTCCTCATATGTCACACTTCTGGGGAAGATATAGCCACTTGGGCCTATGTTTCCAGGAGCCAGATGACGCTCCCAAGCCCAGAGAGGGACAGTGACTCGATCTAGGTCACACAGCAGCACATGGGCAGCTTGCCAAGGGGAAGAATCACTTCCCATCAGGCCTGATACTTGAGCAATCCCATGGGTGAGTGGGGGCTCCCCAAGGTGCTCCTTCCCTTCCCCGAATGCCTGGGCAGAGGGGCTTCAGGCACACATGCCAGGCATTCTCACAGAAGATCGTCAGTAAATGATTGAGCGGGTTGGTTTTACAGATGGGCACACTGAGGCAGAGGAGACAGGGCACAGTCACATGGTGCACCTGCAGACAAACAGGGCGAGGTTCCAGTTCTCTGCACTAATAGTCTGAGCACCTACCAGGCCCCAGCTTGCCCTGCCCATCACCTCCACACCTGGCAGTGCCTGGTCTTTCCCCACATCCTTGCTTTGTTCTCCTCCCATCATTAGCTTCCTCTTACCTTCTTTCAAGATGACAACCTCTTGGCTCCGCTCAACCCTTGCCCATGGGCCTCAGACCCCTGTTTTGGTAGTAATAGTTGGCTAAGGCTGGTCTCCGCCAGCATGGGGGAGCAGGGTGGCTTGTGTGCAGGATCCTGGCAGTCAGCAGCTGTGATAACACCCTGGGCTGTGTAAAACACGAGGGCTGTGCATGTATGTGAGAGAGATAGTCGAGGCTCAAACACATACACCCACAGCCTTTGCTCCACGGTCTCTTACTGGTGACTCTTGGGTTTTTCCAGTGTTACCGTTCTGAAGTTCCCTCCGTCCTGGGTGGGCTTTAGATTCTCCTGGACCATAAAGGCAGGGAAGTTTCTGAGGAGGGCCAGTTGCCTCCGCTAGTGGTCTGAACGAGGCCTCAGGCCCTAGGAAATCCTAAGACCCACACCACATCCATGCCGGACCACCTTTGGTGAGCATGAGATCTTGGACAAATCACTTCCTTCCTTGGTTTTCCCTCCCATAAAGTGAGAGGTAAGAATCCCTGTTGTTTTACTCTCAGGGGCATTGTGAGGATGAAATGAGCTGTTTGCTGGTAATTGTTGAGAACTGTTCCTGATTCTGTGATTTCCAAGTTTTGCAGGTGTATTGGTCTGTTCTCATGCTGCTAATAAAGACATACCTAAGGGTGGGTAATTTATAAAGGAAAGAGGTTTAATTGACTTACAGTTCCGCGGGGCTGGGGAGACCTCAGGAAACTTACAATCATGTTTGAAAGGAAAGCAAACATGTCCTTCTTCACATGGTGGCAGGAAGAAGAAGTGCCAAGCAAAAGGGGAAAAGCCACTTATAAAACCATCAAATCTCGTGAGAACTCACTCACTGTCATGAGAACAGCATGGAAGTAACTGCCCCCATGACACCATGATTCAATTACCTCCCACCAGGTCCCTCCCACAACAAGTGGGGATTATGGGAACTACAATTAAAGATGAGATTTGGGTGGGGACACAGCCAAACGATATCAGCAGGCAAAAGAAATTTCACTTTATGTTGTCATGTACATGCATACGTATACTCGTGTACGTATGGAAATTTAATTTTGCATCAGTGTGTTTAGGGACTGGGGTCATATATTTGAGTATGTGGGTGCTTGTGTTTGTTAATTAGGATTTAAATCTAATTTCATCCCCTCAACACCTTGCATGGAGCAGAGTGGAGCCTAAGCAGCCTGCCTGTGTTTGAATGTCGTTGCACTGCTTGCTTAGCTGGGTTGAGTAGAATAAGCTGTAAAACCTTGGTGGGCTTGTTGTCTTCATCTGCAAAATGGGCCTAATAAATGTGCTTCCCTCTAGGCTCTCATGCAGATTTGATGCTAAGCACATAGCTCCTGGAACAGCCTGAGCCTCACATATCACCCTTTAGCAGTTCTTGGCCCTTAGGCCATTTCGTTTACTTTGACAAGAAGTGGAAGAGAAATGGTGTGACTGTCCTTACCTGTAACATTAATTATTACGAGAAAGAGGGTGATATCCCCAACCTCCCACCTTTAGATCCGTTTCTTTTTTCTTTTGATGGTCTAGATATTTGATTCTTGGGGGGATTTCTCTGCTTGAGGGTAAGAGTGCTGGAGGAAGGCAATGAGAGGAGGGTTTTTTTTGTTTGTTTTGTTTTTTGATGGACACTTGGAGCCCTCAGCATTTTTTTCTGGATGTACATTTGTGGTAGAGGAAACTGATGCAGCCAGAGAGCTGCATTTCTCTGGTGGAATCGGCCACTGTCCATAGCAGCTCTTTCTAAACTGGTACTCAGTGGGTTACGTGTAGTCTGTGATGGTCCCCACACACCAAGAGGGGCACCTCCTCAGGTTTTGGAAAACCTCTCAGACTGTACTTCCCTTCACAGACATCAAAACGCTTATTGGTATTATAAAGATGCTGTAAAACCTGCCATAAACAAATAATTTTAATTTGGTTTAACCCAGAGTTTCCCAAACGTTCTCTTCTTTTGCATAATCTCTGCTACAAGGCTTTGAGGAATACACTGTAGCAAGTACGGATCTGTGAAATCAATAGTATGGAAATCAACACCACCATGTGTCAGCAGGTCACCCTGGGACACAGGAAAATGATATGATGCACAGCAGTGCCTCTCAAACCTCAGTGCACAGAGGTGTCACCCAGGGAGCCTGTGAAAATGCAGATTCCACATCAGCAGGTCTGGGTGGGGCCTGAGTTTCTGCATTCGTGAAAAGCTCCCTGGTAATCCTCATACTGCCAGCCCAGGGACCACACTTTGTGTGATGAGATTATAAAGAATCCTCTGCTACAACAGAATTTCACCTGCACCCATTCTTTCAACAGCATTGGGAGACCAATGACCACCTCCAGCAGTTCCCGAATCAGGCCATCAGCCCCATCGGCAGGGAGCTGATCTTGTCTCCCCATGCTGGACAAGCAAGCCCCCTTAGGAGAAGGAGCAGCCAGACAGGGGCAGCGGCTGGAGCTAATGCAATGACCATGGTTCAGGGATGGCAAAGTCCTTCGAGCTGCGCAATGTTGGCAGAGTCTGCATGAAAAGACGACAGTCGGCCGCACTTCCGCCACCTCTCTTGTCTCTGCAAATAAGATTTGGGTTGTTAGTGTTTTAATTTATTTATTTATTAATTTTTAAAGAGACATTTCCCCTTTCTTTCCTTAGGTCTGGAGTCATTAAACAGGGATTAGCTGGATAAATAGAGGAAGTGATTTTTAAACTGTTTGCAAACTTAATGTGAAGAGCCCAGCCTTGCAAATTATCACGTCTAATCAGAGGCCCTCGCTTCACTGCTCCAGTAATTGTACTGGTATTAGTCAAATTCTTGTTGTCTCCTCATTAGCCATGAAAAGGAGACTCAAGATGTACTTCATTAGAGTGTCCTGGAAATATATTGCTAATGCGGAGATGGAGGCGGAGGAAGGGAGGGTGGGAGGGAGAGAGGTGTGGGGACGGGGCAGGAGCATGTAGCATCTACATCTGGCACTGTGGACTCCTCACCTCTCTCAGCTCCGTCTCACACGGGGCCTCCTCCACTTACCTAGGCAGGACCTAGAGACACAGTGCTCTGAGGCTCATCTCCTGTGGGCCTCCCTGGCCCAGTCCCTGCCCTTCTCTGGGCTCAGTTCTCATTTGCAGGACAAGAAGGGTGGGCTGGGCTCCAAGGGCCCATTCTGCCTGACATCCTGGGGGCTGCGGTTCTAAGCATTGAGACTCTAAGCACTTGCTATTCTCTCGACTCCTTGGGCTTAGGCCCTCCTGGGGCTGTGCTCGAATGTCAGCCAGACACCAACCTGTAGCTGTCCTTGCTGTTGTCGGGTAGGAGTTGCGGTCAACATCCTTCCCTTCCCTTCTTTTCCCTTCCCTTCCCTTCCACTTCCTTCCTTCCACTTCCTTCCTTCCCCCCTTTCTATTTATGGAGTGTTGAGTCCTGTAGCTATTTAAATTTAAATTAATTGAAATAAAATAACATTAAAAAGCCAGTTCCTCATTTGCACTAGCCACATATCTAATGCCCAGTCGCCCCTGTGGCCAGTGGTTCCTGAACTGACAGTGCAGAAAGTTCTATTGGACAGCTCTGGCCTGGTCCCTCTCTGTGAGGCTCTGTGCTAAGCAGCATGGGAGTGAGGGAGATGTGGAGTCAAGCAAGAGAATCTTTGCCTCAAGATGCTCAGTCAGGTGGCAGAGATATCACAGCTCGCTGTGGTTAGTTGAAGATGGGACCAAGTATGAGACTACAGGTGCACACCTGGAACTGCCCGGAGGCTGAGAGTCAGCCTGGTGAGCCAGCCTGGTGAGCTGGAGAGAGTCAACAAGGCTTCCTGGAGAGCAGGAAGTTTTCAAAGGACAGGCCTGTTTGCATCTGTGCTTGTTTGAAGATAAGACTGGCCCATCCATGCCTGTGAGCCTCAGAGTCCTCACTTCTGAGCCTCGGCTAACCTTGCTGCCTTGTGGATTTGCTGTGTGCACTAGTGGATAGGCAGCACTTCCTCCTCCACTCCCGGCAGCCGTGGAGACCTTTGAAAGGCATGAACCCGACTGCATCACCCCTACTGGAAGATGCCAGTGTCTTCCCTTCGGTTTCAGGAAACCCTAAATCCTCAGCTCACCTCTGCAGCCTCTTCTCATTTCTCACTCCCAGAACTCCAAACTCTACCCAACCTGGCTTCCTTTATCCTTTGAAAGCTTTGATGTCTTCCACCACTGGCCGTTGTGTGTGCCTGTCCCCTACCTGGGACACCCTTTCCCCCTTCCACATCCTCTGCCTGGGGAAGCTCTCCTCACCCTCAAAGGCCAGCACAAACAGCAGCCCTCCCTCACCTTTGGGTCACAACAGACCTCCCTGCTAGCTGCTCTCATAGCACAAGTGGCAGTTTGTGATGATATGTCTCTGTTTAGTGTCGGCCTCTACCTGTAGGTTGTGAGCTCCATGAGTACAGGATCAGGGAGTCTGGGCTGAGAGTCCACTAGGAGCCCGGAGGGCCATGCGCTGGCCAAAGGAGGTTAATTCCACAGGGTGGGGCTGTCAGCAGGTAAGCAGGCGGAGGCCCGGGGCCTGCTCTGTGCTTGTCTACAGGGGTAGTGGTGGCATATCTTAAGGAGATAAACAGGCAGGGAGCACGGACTGGACGCCAGGCTGCAGAGGGACAACAGGAAGGTTGACAGCAATGTTGTCCTTTGGGAGATCAAAGACTGCAAGGGCAAGGGTGTGGGTTTGGATTTGGGCAGACAGGTCTTTGAAGCCCATCTCTGTCACTTTCTAGCAG
Organism: Homo sapiens; assembly: GCF_000001405.40. Taxonomy (NCBI): domain Eukaryota; kingdom Metazoa; phylum Chordata; class Mammalia; order Primates; family Hominidae; genus Homo; species Homo sapiens. Next base: position 78,894,049 of record NC_000010.11, on the reverse strand, counting down.
TGTGACTTGGGCTGGCCTTGGTTTGTAAGAAGAATATTTGCCTCAGAAGGACACGCTAAGGATGAAATGAGATGGTGGCGTGTACACTGCATAGCACACTGGCTGGGTTATAGCACACCCTCAGCATGTGAAGCCATATCATGAGCTTTCATTATTTTAGGAAGGAGACTGAAGAGATGTAGTCTCTATCTGCAGAGGGAAGGCAGGTGAAAAGTGGCTCCTGGGATCCCTGATTCCATCCTTCCTCCCATATGCAAGATGATGGGGTCTTGAGCTCACAGCCAGGTGTTGCTAACAGTGGAATGAGCGCTTCCATCCACACTGAGCCCCTGGACTTGGGGAAGAACAAACAGAACACCTCTTTATGTCATTATGACCCCTCACCAGCTAGAAGACATTAAATTCCAAATCCTTCTCAACCCTAGGTATATGACTTGTAGATTTGCATAATGACAAATGCCTATAGATAAATGTCTCATCTAAACTGTCCCAAACACCACTCTGTTGCGTATGTTGTTCTGCAGGGACCAGGTGTTCCTGGGGTCAGGGTCTGGTAAGCCTCAGCTGGGTACCTGGGATGTACCACTCCGGTGAGACCAGGCAATGGCTCAGGGCTGCTCACCATGGTGCCTTTCTTTCCTTATAGCTCCTTCTTGGTGGTCAGTCCCGAGGCACTGCATGGGTTAGACACATCCGAATCTGAATGTATGCTCTATTGCTTGCCCCAGACCACCTAGTTACTTAGGTCACTCCACGGTCTGAGCCTCAGTCATGACAACTGCAAAACATGGGGTAACAATATTTACCTTGAAAGCTGGTTGTTAGGATTAATAATGTGGCAGGCACGGTGCCTACTACAAAGCTGTGGGCAATAAATCAATTCTTCCTCCTCCCTCCCTCTGTCCATCCCTTTCCTGAGTCCACCTTTGTTCTAAAAGGGCTCCCCGGGCTGCCCACCACTTGGGCAGCAGTCCTTTATCTCTCTGCCTCTGGATGCAGACCTGCCAACCTCTGAGCCTTGGAATCCAATTTCTCTACCTCCTGGAGGACAAAAGGCTGAGTCAGCTCTCCAGGGATGCTCTCTCAAGGTTCCAGAGAGTCTGGGTGTCTCAGCACCAGTGCTCAGGCTGCTAATGGAGTCAGAGTGAATTCAGGGCTGATACCACAGCCCTGAAATGTGGAGTGCACTGGAGAAGCCATGGGCTCTTTTTTTCTTTTCTTTTTTTTTTTTTTAAGTACCTCCCACACGATAGGTTTCCTTTAAATCAGGAACTGGTTGTCTGCATTTCAGGCTTCTGGTAACTTCCTCCCTGGCCCTATAAAGGCCACAGGAGGAACAATTAGATGCCCCTGATGCTGAGGGATGTAAAGGGGCCAAAGAGGTGGGCTGTGCCCCTCCCGGCTGTCCTGTGTGGCATGGAGAGCATAACACCCCCCAGGAAAGCCCACTCTACAGGGTTCTCAGCTGCTCAAGCACGTGGGCGAGCATGTGGGCGGGCATGTGGGTGGGCATGTGGGTGGGCCATGGCTCTCCAGAGCTGACTTGCATGTGCATAGAAGTCAGAGGTGGAAATGAGGAAGACAGCTTTGGGCAAGATGACCTCGGAGGCCCAGAGAGGTTAATTGACCTGCCAAGGGTGGTGTAGCTGGTTGGGTGACCTGGGTTAGACTCTCCTTCCCCAGGTCCTTTCCACACTTGACCCTGAATTAATCCACTCACCTTCCACTGCCCTCTCACCACTGTGAGACAGTGCAGAGCTCACAGGTCATGGGTTTCACTGTATCAGCTACTGCTCCTGGCAGAATCACTCTGTTTTTGTGTGGCTGTTGCCTTTCTGAGGAGACCATAAGCACAGGGTAATGGGGGAAGACCTGGCTTTTGTGACCTTCACTGAGCTGCTCCCGCTCTGAGGGCCTGCTTCCTCTTCTGAAAACTGAAGCGGGGAATGCCATCATTTTTCAGGGCATTGCTGCAAGGTGGAAAGGAGGTGCCATATCAGTGCTCAGCAAAGTTCTTCCTGGAAATAACCTTCCTCTAAGAAAAAGTTACTACTTCCTACAAGTTCTGCAGGGACTGGTGAGCTAAGCTCTATGTTCTAAAAGTATGGTCCCCAGGCCAGCAGCCAGAGCATCATATGGGGACTTGTTAAAATGGAAATCTCAAGCCCCTTCCCATACCTATGGAATCAAAAACTCTGAAGGTGGGGCCCAACAATCTGTATTGTAGCAAGCCCTCCAGGCGATTCTCATGCCTCCTAAGTTTGAGAGCCCATGGCTAGGCATTCCATTTCTATGGGCTCAGAGGAGAGAAAGACCACTGTGGACTGGGGTGTGTGGTCCAGGAAGGCTTCCCAGGGTTGATGACATTAGAAAGGAGCAGTTGAGTAGCAAGTTGAAGCTGGGTGATGAAGAGGCATTTGGGTGTGAGGAACAGTACACAGGAGAGGAAATGTTGAAGGCAGATTTGCCAAAGCCTCCCCTGCTCCCACCAATGCCCACAAGACTGTCAGAATAATCACCAAGGCTATGATTGGGATTCAGATTTGATCTTGATGGGGTTATAATAAATGCTACATCTGAATTGGGTCATAAAGGCAAAATCAGGGCCAGATGACCATCCATTCATCCATCCATCCATCCATCCATCAATACATCCATACATCCGTCCATCCAATGCCTATCTGTCCATCTGTTCAGCTATCCATTCATCCATACATCCAATGTCCATCTATCCATCTGTTCATCTATCCATCCATATATTCATTTATCCATTCATCCATCCATCCATCCATCCATCCATTCTTTCTTTCTATCAAAATTTACTGAGCCTTTACTCTGTGTCAAGCATTAAGCTATGCTCTTGGCTTGCAGAGATGAAACAACCAGAGATACCAACTTGTGTGCTTTGATAACTTAAACAATTGAGTAATAGGAAAAATCTGCTTAAAAAAATAAAAAAACTTCCACCGAACTTTACTATCTAAAGTATTAGATTTAAAATGTCTGGGTGGCATGAAATAGAAACAATACTTAAATTTCAAGTCTGGTCCTGTCTTTGAGGTGCTTGTAAGACTGGGTGTAGGAATGAGACATGTCAAGAGTGGAACATCACCCAGGGGAGGGGCACAAATAACCGGACTCATTTGTTTGCTTGTGGAGCTTCCCACCTCTCCTTCTTATCTATTTTCTGATTTAATCCTGGAAACAATACTGTGAAGTCTGAGGAAATTCAGACTCAGAATTTAAATGACTTGCCTCGAGTTACAAAGGAAATGAGTTAAGGAGCCATCATGAAACCTGAATGTTCAGGTCCTTCCAAATCCTGAGCTCCGCCCCTCTGGCTGCTACCCAAAGGAGTGAAGTATCAGGTCCTGTGTTCCCTGGGTCCTATTTTGGGCAAGGTGGGCCCCTTCTGGGATGCCTAGGCTGCTCACTCCACCCATGTGAAAAGATAATTGTGGAGCCATGTCTAACCCAGAAAGCAACTCAGGAATCACAAGATCCATTTCCAAAGAAAAGTCATCCATTTTCCAAGCACAGGCCGCTGGAGGGAACTGGGAGACACTGGCCCTAGCGCCAAGCCTGGCTCTGACATCAGAATAAGAAACCACCCAGCTTCCCAACACCTATCAATTCCCAAGAATTTAACGCCTTACCCATGCTAGCAGGTCACTGTGAAAAAAAAAAAACCACAACAAACCACACACACTGGTAGTAAAAATGTGGCTCTTTGAACAATATTAAAACACTTCAGTAACCTTTCATATAGAATTAATTAACATAAAACCCAGCATCCTCATTGCTGCAGAGTCCTAAAGTGGTTGCCAGAATTTAATTAGACTTAACCTTTTTTCCTACACCAGTACCGCTTTATAATAACTGCAAATCATTATTAATTCCTTTGGTGTTCACTGTAATAACATTAATCATGATGAACTTCTTTCTGTAGTAATGTGTATGTAATATGTAATTCCATAGCAATTTAGTATTAGTTAAAGCTAAATTGAAATTAATTTCACAAAAAGATACTATTTGTTATTGGATACTGTGTATTCAGAAAATAATATTTTAGGGCAATTTATATTAAGGTGGCCAGATTAGGAGGCATTTGGCAATCTGCTGAAAGTTCCCAGGCAGAACTATTTGCTTCTGATTACTGGAGCATATCTGATTGCTGGCATCTCGTATCCCAAGGTACTTGAAATATCAAACCAGAAAATGGGGAGGCTATTATGGGATGGTCTTTTGAGATCCGGTACCTTATCCATCTGAAGGCACAGCGTTGGACAAGAAGCTGCCTTCGAGTCGTTTCCAGATCCCGAGCCTATGATTTATTATGCCAGATCTCAGGGTCCTGGTCACTTCTCGGGCCTCTCCCAGGCTTAGTCTTCTCTTCTGTGCAATGGTTATATTGTCCTTTCATGGTGGTCTTCAGGATCTCCAAAGGTGTGATAAATTGAGAGTGACTTGAAAAATAAGAATAGCTGAGAACATACATGATTCTAGAAAGGAGAAACAATGACCTGTGTGTGTCTTATTTTGGTTTTTTGTCTTGTTTATTTTTATGGTGAAGTGTTTGCAAATAGAGGTGCTGGGAAGGTAAAGTAAGGGTTTTTAAAGACATCAAGTATATTTGTCACTAATTTTCAGAAGCCACCTTGTCCCAGCTCTGCCCTTCACTGAATCTTTCCAGACATACCTGTGTCACAACCTCCGGGGGACTTTCCTCTTTCATTCATCCTTTCATCTCACTGTGCTGCAGTTAGACACACAAAGAAGAACAAGACAGAACTCTGCCTTCAAGAAGCTGGTGGTCCAGGGCACAGTGACTAGAGACGGATAACTAAAGAATATTATAATGAGGGTAGTAGAGATGCGCTCTGGTCAGGAGTGATATTACAAATAAATAACAGCAGGTAAGGCACAGGTTGTGACCAATCAATGCATCAGGGGGCTTCCAGGTGCACACTAGCTGGACACCAGCAGGCAGAAGATGATGAATCCCAGGAGAAAGTCCTCTAGCCTGGTGTACAGGTAGGTGGTATTCAGGGAAGCCTCCCTAGAGGACAGAGCCTTAGGCTAAAGTGGACTTTGGCCAAGACTGGGGAATAGCTGGGGCAAAGCTCAGAGACAAGAGGCAACCTGATGTGTAGGAGACAGTAACTATGAGCAGATTGCCCTTGTGAGGGATCCAGTGTCCCCAGCAGGATGGGACAGCCTCACTACTGCTGTGTGTGGGGTCATCTCTAAGGGCTTACTAAGCACTGGGAAGTGAGGACATTAAAAGCTAAGGGTGGGGCCGGGCGCAGTGGCTCACACCTGTAATCCCAGCACTTTGGGAGGCCAAGGTTGGCAGATAACTTGAGGCCAGCAGTTCGAGACCAGCCTGACCAACACAGCGAAACCCTGTCTCTACTAAAAATACAAAAAAATTAGCCAGGCATGGTAGCACATGACTGTAATCCTAGCTACTTGGGAGGCTGAGGCACGAGAATTGCTTGAACTCAGGAGGTGGAAGTTGCAGCAAGCCAAGATCGTGCCACTGCATTCCAGCCGGGTGATGGAGTGAGACCCTGTCTCAAGAAAAAAACAACAACAACAAAAAAAAACAATTAAGGGTGGGGTGGGGGGAATGCAATGGAGCAGGGACATTGCTTTTTTTTTTCTTTGTTTTGAGCATTAGAAAAATGACCTCACTATTATGAAAGGAGTAATATATGCCACATAAAAATTAAACACTTATGTCTGGAAATAGATATCATAAGCAAAGTCAAAAGACATATGATAGATGTTGGAAGTAGAGATTTATAACATATATTACAAAAAATTGATAGCCTTTCTCTAGAAGAAGCTTTTTACAAATTGATTGGAAAAAGACAAATAACCTAGGCGCTAAATGGACAAGGGAAAGCCTCAAATAACCAATAACTTGGAAAAAAAAAAGCCATCATAACAAATAATCAAGGAAATTAAAATTAAAATAACAAAATATCAGTTTTTAAACCACATGGACAAAAATCTAAAAGTGTTGGTAGCATTCATTCCTGTTGAGGGAAAGTGTGCACTCTTATACATGCTGGGTAGATGTGTAATTAGGGCACAATCTTTTCACTATTAACATTTAAGTGTTTAAAAAACCTGAGTGTTCATGTACAAGGATATGTTTAAAAATAGCTTTATAGAGATAAAATTGACATACAATTATAATCAAAAAGCCTGTTTTTAGAAATCTAGATTTTGCAAATCTTACATCAGGAAATCATGATGTAAGAAAGTGAGGTAAGATGTTTAAAAAACCTGAATGTTCGTGTATAAGGGCATGTTTAAATAAAAAGTACACCCAGCTATGAAATATTAATCAGTGACTTTGAAGGATGCCTGGGGTAATTTTATTAGATGAGTAAAGCAGAATATTCACTTTAAACCCATTGATGTTAAAAAAAACATAAAACATGCTCATTATAAAGAATTCAAGAAATTAAAAAGACTACTAAGAAAAAGATAATCCCCACAAGATGTGATCCCCAGAAATCAACCCATATGCATATCCTGATAGAAGTCTATATAGACACGAACATATAGGTGGAGTTATATAACCTGAGATACTTAATATAAAGTTTTAAAATTAAATTTTATTTTCACTTAAAGGAAGAAAAAGAAACTAAAGTGAAATGGAAGGAATGATCTATTTAGATAAATATTTCTTCAGCACAAGATGGTATTATTTTCTAACAGATTCCCTCTAAGGGATTACAGAAAATATGAGGAGGTTGGAGCCAGTAGCCAGTTTTAAATGACATATTTTAAATTTATACAGTATTTATTGATGTCCTGCTCAGAAAGATGAGGACAGCACCCCTACACTTCTCCCATCTCTCTCTTCTCATTGCTGATGTTGTTACTTATATTATTATTTTTACATTTTAGACTGTATAACATCTCTATCTCTTCTGTAGGCACAATTATGTCTGTTTTTAAGTCTTAGGGAAAAATTTAATAGACTCAGCTTAAAACTAGTCCTTCTCATCCACAGCTTCCTTCACTAGACCCATGTAAAGTTTGTTTCGATGTATCTGTTAGTTGACTGATGTATTGGTCAGAGTTTGATTCCACTGTGTCTAACAACAACAAATGGTGGCTTCAGCCAAATAAAAGCTTATTTCTTTTTCCCATAAAATAAGTTTGGAGGTAGCAGTCTAGGGAAGGTTTGGAAGATCCACAAAATCACCTGACAGTCTAATTCCTTTTAGTTAACTTCTCTACCAACGTTTGGTTCAGGCTTTGTTCTCATGGTTTAAGATGGATGGTGCTAAAACTCTACCCATCCCATCTGCCTTGTAGGCAACAGGATGGATGAAAGCTTCCTTCCTTTTAATTAGACTTCCTGCTGGTGGCATACATAACTTCTGCTTACACACCATTGGCTAAGACTTCATTACTTGACCATAGCTAATTGCAAGGGAGGCTATGGAAGGTGGTCTTATAGGTGGGTGAGAATGAGCCCAGGAAAATATCAGAGTTCTTGTGACTGAAGAAGAAGGAAACACCCACTGGGGGGACAATAGTCTCTACCACTGAATTTCTACCACTACTAGCTGAATTTCATCAACAAATAGCTTTTCTGCAAGAGATCATGAGTACTATAATTCCTTCAATTTTTTCATATGTAGAGATATCTTTCAGTGGCCTCTATTCTTGAATGACATCTTGGCTGGGTATAATAATATTGGTATACATTTTCTTTCCATCAGAATTTTGAATATATTCCTCCACTGTCTTCTGGAATTGTTACCAAAGATTCTGAGTACAGCTTGGTTTACTGATCACTTCCTTTTCTACTCTGACTCCTGAAGAGTTATTTCCTTGTTCTTAAAGTTCAACAGTATTACTAGGTTATGTCTTGATGTTGATTTTTCTGTACCATCTCCCTGCCTCCCATTCCCAAGCCCCTTGGGAACAGTGTGCTTTTTAATCAGCAAATCCCATTATTTCTCTTTTCATGAATTTAAGATTTCTATCTTTATTATATTTCTGTTTCATCTATTATGCTTTCTAGTATGAAAGCATCAGTTATTTTAATAGAAGGTCAATTTTGTCCTCCAAATCCATGAACATCCCACTATGTTCTTTGACCTTCTTGTGTTTGTCCTGTGCCTTCACTGTGCTCATCTGCAGCAGAGGTGTCGCATAGGGACGTGAGGGCTGTGGGCTGTGTAACCCCAGTGTGCTCTGTTCACATTAGGGGCTAAGATGATGTGAATGGGGCTCCCTGGTGTTGTACAACTTGGTGGCATATTTTCAAATCTTTCCCTGACCTCAGGAATTAATTTTTCATCTATGTTTATTACGTTCTTAATTTTTTATGATTTATTTATTGATTCACTAACATTATTATATTGTTTGCTCTCATTTTGTTTTGTTGGCTCTGGAGCTCCCTTTTCCTATTGCTCTTTGCTTTTAAAAATAGCTTTATAGAGATATAATTGACATACAAACAGCTGTATGGATTTAAAGTGACAAATTGATAAACTTTGGCATACGAATACCTCATAAAAACAATAAATCAATTGATGTAATGAACATATGCAGTGCTCCCCAAAGTCTCCTTGTGCTTCCTGATAATCCCGCCTTCTTGCTCCTCCCTTCCACTAGCCCTCCCCTCAGGCAACCGTGAATCTGATTTCTGTTACTATAGGTTAGAGTTTTATAGAAATGGAATTATTCTCTTCCCCCATCACCACCCCCAATCACGTACATATAGTTGGTGGAGGGAGGTCTGGCTTCTTTCACTGAGCATAATTATTTTGAGATTCATCCATGTTACTGTGTGTTTCAATAATTCATCCCTTTTTTATTTTTTGAGGCGGAGTTTCGCTCTTGTTGGCTGGAGTGCAATGGCGCAATCTCAGCTCACCGCAACCTCCACCTCCTGGGTTCAAGTGATTCTCCTGCCTCAGCCTCCTGAGTAGCTGGGATTACAGGCATGTGCCTCCACACCCAGCTAATTATTTTATATTTTTAATAGAGACGGGGTTTCTCCAAATTGGTCAGGCTGGTCTCAAACTCCTGACGTCAGGTGATCCACCCACCTCAGCCTCCTAAAGAGCTGGGATTAGAGGCATGAGCCACCACACCCAGCCTCATCCCTCTTTATTGCTAAATAGTATTCCATCATATGGATATACCACAATTTGCTTATATATTCACCTGTTGGTGGACATTTGGATTGTTTATAATTTTGGGTTATTATAAGTAAAATTGCTGCAAACTTTAATGTATAATTATTTGTATGGATATAAAGTTTCACTTCCCCTGGGAAACGCCTAGGAGTGGAATGGCTAGGTCATATAGTGGATATATATTTAACTTTTCTAAGAAACTTCCAAACTGTTTTTAAAAGTGGAAGTACCATTTTACCTTCCTACTGGTAGCGTTTGAGATTTTTTTACTTCACATTCTTGCCAATACTTGATATGGTCAATCTTTTCAATTATGGATGTTTGAATAGGTGTGTAGTTGTATCTCATTGTGGTTTTAATTTGAGTTTCTCTAATGGTGCTGAGCATCTTTTCATGTGCATAGTAGCCCCTCATGTATCTCCTTTGGTAAGTGTCTTTCTGCATTTATTTGTCTCCTTTAATTTCTCTCAGCAATGTTTGTAGCTTTCAGTTTATATATGTTTTGCACAATTCCTCAGATTTTTTCTCTAAACATTTCATATTTTTTGTTATTACAAATAATATTTTTAAACTTCTATTTTCTATTGTTTGTTGTTAGTAAATAGAAATACATTGAATTTTGAACATTGGTCTTATATTTTGTAACTAAATTCACTTATTCGTTCTAGTAGGTTTTCTTTCTACCAGATTTTCTACATAGACTGTTAAGTCATCTTCACTTAATGACAGTTTTGCTTCTTCCTTTCCAATCTAGATGCCATTTATTTCTTTTCTTTTTTTGCCTTATTGCATTGATGAGAACCTATAGGACAATATTGAAAGAAAGCAATGAAAGCGGAAAATCTCAACTTGTTCCTGGTTTTAAGGGGAAGCATTCAGTCTTGCACCACTTAGTATAGTGTTAGCAGTAAGTTTTTTTGTTGATGCTTTTTGTCAGGTTGAGGATATCCCCTCCTGTTGATACTTTGCTATAGATTTTTATCAGGTATGGATATTGCATTTAGTCAATATCTTTTCTGTATGTATTGAGATGATACTGTTTTTTTCTTTTTTCTTTTCAGTTTGTTAACCTGGTGATTGCTTTTTAAATGTTAAACCAACTTTGCATTCCTGGCATAAACCTCACCAATCGTGATGCGTGATCCCTTTTGCATATTATTGGATTCAGTTTGATAAAATTTTTGTTATAAAGTTTTGCATTTATGTTCATAAAAGATAATAATGTATCATTTTATTTTCTAGAAATGTCATTTTAAGGGTTCTTTCTTCAATTTTCTGGAAGTTTGTGTTTTTATTCTCATCTTACTAATTTTCTTTTGTTCTTAGACCAATAGATCGTTTTAAAATGCATTATTTAATTTCAGTATATTGGGGGATTTTTAGATATTTCTGTAGCCTGTTTCTTATTTAATTCCATTGTAACCATAAAACATACTTTAAATCCTTTAAAATTTATTGAGACATTTTTTGGTCCAGAATAGGGTCTGTATTGGTAAGTGTTTTATACGTACTTGAAAAGAATGAGCATTCTTCTGTTGGTGGAGTGTTCTTTAAATGTCATAAGGTCAAGTTAGTTGATAATATTTTCAGTGTCTTCTCTCTCTGTTAGTTTTATGTGTACTTGTTCTACTAACTATTGAGACAGTATAAAATTTCTGACTATAATTGCAGATTTGTTTATTTCTCTGGAAGGTCTATCAGTCTGTGCTTCATATTTGAAGCTCTGTTATTATGTGTGTAAGTGTTTAGAATTTGTATGTCCTTTTGATTAATTGACCCTGTCATCATTAAGACATGATCCTCTTTTCTTTGGTAGCATTCTTTGCTCTGAAATCTATTTTGTCTGATTTTAATAGAGTCACTTCAACTTTCTTACGACTAGTGTTTGTTTTTATCCTTTTATTTTTAACTTATTTATGTCTTTATATGTAAAGTGGATTTCTTGTAGGTAGCATATATTGGATCTTGCTTTTTTTCATTGAGTCTGACAATTTCTCTTTATCTGGAGAGTTTAGACCTTTTGCACATAATGTGATTACTGACATGGTTGGGTTTGAATCAACTGTCTTCCTCTTTACAGTCTATTCATCCCATCTGTTCTTTCCCCCGCTTTACTCTTTTTTTCCTTTTAAATTTTATTTTGAAATAAACAGATTCACAGGAAGTTACAAAGAAATGTACAAGGAGATCCCTGCATCCTCCACTCAGTCTCCCTCAATGTTACTATCTTGAATATTAATATAGAATCTTGAATAGTATAATATTGAAACCAGGAAATTGACCTTGGTATGATTTAGAATTCATTCAAATTTTACCATTTATACATGCACTCATGTGTGTGTGTGTGTGCCTCTATGCAATTTTATCACGTGTTGCTTCATGCAACTGCTGCCACAATCAAAACATACAACTGTATCATGACCACGAGCTCCCCTTATGTTACTCATCTACAGCCACGCCCTGCCCTTCCCCTCACCCTTAACCCCCAACAGCCATTAATCTGTTCTCTGTTTCTACAATGATGATATTTTATAAATGTCATACAAATGGAGTCAGACAGTACCTATCCCCATGAGATTGGCTTTTTTCATCAATATAATTTTTCTGAATTTCATTCAAGTTGTTTTTTGCATTCCTAGTTTCTTACTGTTAAAAGTTTTAACAAATTTCTTTATATTTATTTATTTGCTGTGTAATATTCCATGGTATGGATGTACCACAGTTTGTTGATCACTCACCTACTGAAGGACACTTGAGTTTTAAAGGTTTTGCCTATTATGATTAAAGCTGCCACAAACATTTGTGTACTGGTTTCTGTGGGATAAGTTCCCATTGCTCTGGGATGAAATTGCCCAAGAATGCAATTGCTGTGTTGTATGGTAACCCTTATTTGGTTTTGAAAGAAAAGACTAAACTGTTTTTCCAGGGTGGCTGTATCATTTTACACTGCCATCAGCAATAAAAGCACTGTTTAGTTTCTCTATACGCTCATTAACATTTTGCGTTATCACTAATTTTTTATTATAGCCATTCTAGTAGGTAGGTAGTAATATCTCATGGTTTTTATTTACATTTCCCCAATGGCTAATCATGTGAAACATTTCTTCATGTGTCTATTAACCATTCATATATCCTCTTCAATAAGATATCTGATCATTTTTTGGAGGGTCTATTTTCTAAGTAGATTTTTAAAAAATATTGGGCTTTGAGGGTTCTTTACACATTTTAGATACAAGTTCTTTGTTGTATGTGCAATTTGTAAATATTTTCTCCCAGTGTGTAATTTGTATTTTTATTGTCATTACAATGTCTTTCACAGAGAAAAAGTTTTGAAATTTTGGTAAAATCCAACTTATCAATATTTTCTATGGATCATGCTTTTGGTGTCAAGTCTAAAAACATATTACTTAATTCTACATGCTGAAGATTGCCTCCTGTGTTTTTTTCCCTAAAGGTTTACAGTTTTACATTTCATATGTAAATCTGTATTCTATTTTGAGTTAATTTTTATAAAGGATGTGAGATTCAGGTTCAGTTTTATTTTTAAATATTTATTTATTTATTTATTTATTTTGCCCAGAAATGTCAGTTGCTCCAGGTGCATTTGTCTAAAAGGCTATTCCTCCCCTATTGCATTGCTCTTTCAGTTTTGTCAAAAATTAGTTGGACATAGGCTGAGTGCGGTGGCTCACACCTATAATCCCAGCACTTTGGGAGGCTGAGACAAGCAGATCACAAGGTCAGGAGTTCAAGACCAGACTGACCAACATGGTGAAACCCCGTCTCTACTAAAAATACAAAAATTAGCCGAGCATGGTGATGTGTGCCTGTAATCCCAGCTACTCAGGAGGCTGAGGCAGGAGAATTGCTTGAACCTGGGAGGCGGAGGTTGTGGTGAGCCGAGATTGCACCACTGGACTCCAGCCTGGGCAACAGAGTGAGACTCCATCTCAAAAAAAAATAAATAAATAAAATTAGCTGGATGTATACGCGTGGCTCTATTTTTTAATTCCTCATTCCATTGATCCATGTGTCCATCTCTCTGCCGGTACCCACTATCTTAATTTAGTGAGATAACAAATCTTAACATCTGATGAGTGATTTCTCCTATTTTATTCTTTTTCAAAATCTTTTTATCTGCCTTCTTCTGAATTAACTGAGCATTTTTATTATTTTATTTTATCACCTTGTTGCCTTATTACCCATGCCTCTTTATCTACTTATTTTGTTATTTCAGTCTTGCTTTATTCTTGCTTTTAGGGTTTGTAGTATACACATCTGTAACTTATCACATAATACATTGTGATTAGTTCTGTTTTAACAGTCAATTGTCTTCTAAATAGATTTAAATAATGAGAAGAAAGTATTTTATTATTAGAAAAAATATTAGTTATCATTTATCATTTCCAGTACACTTTATTTCTTTGTGCAGATCACAATTTCTTTATGGTGTCATTTTCCTTCTGCCTGAATGGTTTTTTTCTCCCTATATGCTGTAGAAACATCAAATTGTGATGAATCCTTCTGCTTTTGTTTGTCTGAAAAAGTCTTTACTTTGTCTTCCTTTCAAAGGATAATTTTGCAGTGTAGAATTATAAATTGGCAGTTCCTTTTTTCAGTACTTTAAAGATGTTGCTCCATCTCTTTTGGTTCACATTGTTTCATATAAGAAATCTGTCATTTTCTTTATTTCTCTATAAATAATGTACTCTTGCCTCATATCTGGCTGCTTTTAGAATTTCTCTTTATCACTGATTTTAAGCAATTTTATTACCATGCAGCTTGGTGTATTTTTCTTCATGTTTTCTGTGCTTGGAGTTTGTTGAACTTCTTGAATTGTGTGATTATAGTTTTTGTCAAATGTATCTATGTTGTGGCCATTATTGACTCTTCAAATACTCCCTTCTACTTCCTTATCAGAGTCCAATTACACATCTACTAGGTTGCTTGAGTTTGTCCCACGGCTTAGTCACGCCTTATATATTTTTTTAGTATTATTTCTTCGTGTTTAAGTTTGAATAGGTTCTATTTCTATATTTTAAAGTTTATGGAGCTTTTTCTTGTGATGATTTATCTGCTGTTAATCTCATCTAATGTACTTTTCATTTTAGACATTGTAGTTTTTATCTCTAGAAGTCTGATTTTGGTCTTTTTTAAAAATATCACCAGTCTCCATATCTTTTTACTTCAGTTTCTTGAACACACAGAATACAGTTATAATTACTGCTTTCATGTTCTTATATACAAATTCTATTATCTGTATCATTTCTAGATCAGTTCTGATTGATCAAATTTTCTCTTTAATATGGATTTCTTTCACTGGCTTCTTTGACAATTTTTGATCAGTTTCTAGACCTTTTAAACTTTATCTTATTGAGTGCCACATAGTTTTATATTCCTACGTATACTATTGAACGTTGTTCTGAAATGCAGCTGAGTGTTTTCGAAACTCAATCCTATCAGGTCTTGCTTCTAAGCTTTGTTAGGTATGACCAGAGCAACATTTAGTCTTAAGCTAATTTTGCCCAAATAATAAAGCAGAATCCTTTTTAAGTACTCTATTTAAGTCAGAAGTCAGACTTGTGAGTTCTGACTGGTAAGGACAGGAACTATTTCCAGGCCTGGAATCTCTCTCCAGGCAGTATCCTGGGGCAATTGTAAGACTCATCTTATTTGTTCCCCATCTTTTAGGAATGACTGTCCTTTGTCACCTGTCCCATGTCTTGAAAACCATTGTTTCATATATTTTATTTATTTATTTTTTGGTTATTTCAGGTAGGAGGATAAATCTATTCCCTGTGCTTTCATTTTGGCTGGAAGTAGTAGTTGTTGTTCTATTGCTTTATCATCTTGTCTTTAGGCCCTTATTTTGATACACTTATTTGTTTTTTTTTTAAAATTAGGCTTCATCATAATGGGGGAAATGTTCTCTGTTATTTGAATTTTAATTTATTTTCCTCCAGACTGGAGTTTTTAAAATTTGGTTTGTTCTTTTCTTTTCTGAAAATATTTGCATGGTTATTGTGCTAATTGATTTAATCTTGTTTATACCTAACAGAAACTGCTGTTTAGTTCTTCACTATGAAATACTGAGTGGGGCCAGGCATGGTGGCTCACGCCTGTAATCCCAGCACTTTGGGAGTCAAGGAGGGTGGATCACCTGAGGTTAGGAGTTCAAGACCAGCTTGGTCAACATGGTGAAACCCCATCTTTACTAAAAGAATTAGCCACATGTGGTGGCAGGCGCCTGTAGTCCCAGCTACTCGGGAGGCTGAGGCAGGGAGAATTGCTTGAGCCTGGGATGTGGAGGTTGCAGTGAGCTGAGATTGTGCCAGTGCACTCCAGCCTGGGCAACAAAGTGAGACTCCGTCTCAAAAAAAAAAAAGAAATAGTGAGTGGATTTGACTGAACAGTGTCCCCACTTTTGCTAAAACCTATTTATCTTTTACTTTGAATTACATTTTAAGGGTTTGGTGTTGTATTGTATCAATGATTCTATAGCTGGGAGTGCAAAGGGAGAGGAACAGATATAAGGAAGAACAAACTTTCAATTTTACCTTTGGGGGTCATCTGATTTTAGAAAATATCCTGGGAACTGGCCGGGCGCGGTGGCTCACGCCTGTAATCCCAGCACTTTGGGAGGCTGAGGCGGGTGGATCACGAGGTCAGGAGTTTGAGACCAACCTGGCCGATATGGTGAAACCTTGTCTCAACTAAAAATACAAATATTAGCCGGGCACAGTGGCGCGCACCTGTAGTCCCAGCTACTTGGGAGGCTGAGGCAGGAGAATTGCTTGAACCAGGAGGGAGGCGGAGGCTGCAGTGAGCCGAGATTGTGCCACAGCACTCCAGCCTGGGTGACAGGGAGAGACTCCATCTCAAAAAAATAAAAAAAAAAAAAGAAAATATCCTGGGAACTAAACACCATGAAAGCAGGGATTTTTTGTAAGTGTGTTAGTTTTGCTCACTTTTGTATCCCTCATTCCTAGAATAGTGAGTGGCACACAGTAGATTCTCCATAATGATTTGAAGGAATAAGTGAATTGTACGTATTTACTCCCTGCTCTACTCCAACTAATCCCCCTCCAGGAGAGTCCAACCCTCTTTGGCAATAAGTCGGCAGATAGGGCATCTAAGCATCAAACTGATAAAAGAGTTCTGCAACTAAGCTGACTGATACTGGCCTCCTGGACCAAGGTTCTCCCAGGCAGTGATGCCAATCAGTAGAATGGGCAGGACAGTGTGGATGTGTGACCACATGACTTATAATCTAGGCTAATTTCAATCCAAGTTAGTGGGTAAAACCATGGTCTCTGGAGTGCAAAGATTTCATTTAGGCCTGACGAACTCCTACATACTTTTATTTGACTTCCTTCTTTGTCCATAGCACAAATCTTTCCCAAACTCTTCCCTGGACTTTTCTCTAAGGTAGAACTAATTAGACCATAGTTGGTTCTCATCCAAGTTTGAATAACCGCATTTATGTGTAGTTTTTCTCATCTGATAGTTTATTATAAAACAGGGAAATGGGAAAGGTACAGGAACAGACAAACCTATATTGGAATCCTTGTGTCCAATGGGTTCACAGCCCACTTCAGTCCTGAGATGGCAAGAATAAAAACAGTCAGACCCACTTTTCCTTTTCCCCCTTTTGTTGGCACATCCTCAAGGCCCTAATGACCTGTATTCTTTCCATTGAGTTCATGGACTTCAGACAATCCATGTGTATTTACAATTGTCATATATAACCCACCCCCAAAAGGTTTCATTTCCTTTTGATCACTATTGCCTATTCTCCAACGTTTTTATGTATCGTAAGTATTGCAAAGCCTCTTGACTCCAGTGCAGCATTTTCTCTGACATATTAGAGTCTCAGCCCCCTCTGGGGTGAGGGGCTTCAGAGTGGCCATCCACACCATTTTTTGTTCAGCCATGGTTTCTTGGGCTCCTGGAGACCTGCTGGCAATGGGAATGAGGAGGAAGGAAGGATGGGAGTGCTAAGGTCCCAAGAGACTCCCAGTTAATAATACGGATTTTGACCCTAACTGCTTTTTTGGGGTGACTGCCAAAGTCATGATGGGATTAAGATAATTGTCTGGGGAGGCCTCACAGTGCAAAGGCAGAAAGCAATCGGCAGGTCTCCAGTGAGAAGTATCCGGGAAAAATGCTGTGAGTTCCAAGCTTGCCAATGTCTGAAACATGGAGAAGAATGACAGGATGTTCACAGTAGAGCAATAAAAATGATTGAGCCTCCAGAGAGACAGATTTATGACAAAAGCTCTATGAGCTAAGTACATTTTATTGTGGCCCAGCAGAGCAAGTGAAGACAGAGGGGAGGGGTCTCTGCAGAAGACCGAGTATGAGAGAGTGGTTGGGATAGAGGTGGACTTTGAAGGCAGGGAGAGAAACCAGGAAGTAAGGAGAGAGAATCTGAAGAAAGGGAGAAAAAAGGTAGGGAAGAAAAATAATTTTGGGGAAAAACGATGAGGACCCTTGTGCAGCTGCAAGAGGCCTAGAAACCAGGTGTTAGTTGGGGAAGGCTTGAGATTGCCAGGGTTGGCTGCATCATTAGATTGCTCATCACCTTTCTCCCAAGGTCAGACCTGGGGTCCTTTCCACAGCATCTTCCTAGTCCCCTGCCCTGGGGATTCTCCGTCCCTCTGCTGCCTGGAGTCACAGACAGCTAGATGTACTGCCTCCCCCCAAACTGTGAGCTTCCTGGGAAACCAGCATCCAGCTCAGGGCTGTGCATAGAGTTAGGTGTCCCAGGAAGCACTACGTTTGGGGTAGAAAGGGCTATGCTGGGAGTAGTTTAGTGATGCTTAAACGTTCCTCAGAAGCCCCTGCCTTGGTGCCTGCCTTTATTCCCATCCAAGAAGGCCTCTGGCTGTGGAAACCTCTTTATGTTGCATTTAATAGAAGCGATAGGCCAGTGAGAAATGATGCTCTGAGACCCAGGACTGAGCTCTGGTGGAGTAGTATGAGGTTGAATTGTTGGAGAAGTGTCTCCAATTCCACTTCCAAAATTACAGTGTAAAGCTCTTCAAAGAAGAGACGAAATAAGGATAATCATAATAGTCACGGTGAGGTCCCACATTTCTATACCACTTAAAGGTCATGGAAAGCTTTCACAGCCACTAACCATTTGCCCTTGTAGCATCCTTGCCTATCTCAGTGGGTTGTCAGGCAAATCAAAGGTTTCCCCCAGGAACTGAGACTACAGGCATGCCCCATTTTAAGCAAATCCTGCTGTGAGCATTTAGCTAAAGAAAGCCTGCTTCACAGAGGAATTTAACAGGGTTATTTGAAATGGTGGGTTCCCCCAGCATGTGAAGAAATAAGAGGCAATTTGCTAGAATGCTTGATTGATTGACACATATCCTGTCCAGAACCAGCTGTATGCTTGTAGTGCCTAATGTGTGCTGAGTGTGGCTAATTGTGCTGGGTGATGTGGGGATGAATCTGATGAGGTCTATGCTCAAGAGAGAACTCTTTGCATCTTTGGGTTCATTCCCCAGTCCCCTTAACCTCCCTCCACTCCCCCTGCCCCCATCAATTTCACAGACAGTTATCTCAGGAACTCTTAACCCTAACCCTAACTCTAACCCTAACTTGAACCCTAACCATAATCCTAACTGTAAACGTAAGATGGCCAGCATCAAACTGGGCCAGAAACCTTCTCTGACACCTTGGTCTTAGGACTTGAAAAGAGAGGCAGCTCCTCTGCAGGGCACTGAGCTGTAAGATGTGACACTTGGGAGCTGGGGGAGGTCATGCTTGCTGTCTTGGGGAGAGGGTGAGTCTTTACTGAGGAAGAATAGGCCACACGAAGAGAAGAGAGATGAGGGAGGTGGAGAGATGCCTAGTGCATTTGGGGCTCCAGTTCTCAGTCTTCTGACCTTTCCTATAGCTTTGTTGTCCAACTCTACAATCTATGATCCAATCACTTCTGTCTTTCAATTTAAGCTAGTTCAAGTTAGGTTTCCTTCACTTGCAGTCAAATGAATCATTAATAAAATCCTTTGCTGAAGGGAGACAAGATGTCCATGCATAGTGTCTTTGGTATTTGCAAAGGCAGTCGAATGTGGTGGTTGAGAATTAGGCGTCAAACATCTGAGCAGCAATGATTGAAAATACCCAAATGTTGACCAAATGGAGATCACTTACAAAAATATTGGCATTTATTCATACAAGGAACTCTGATGCAGCTGCAGAAAATAAAGAATGAGTTGCTTTCTAGTCCGATATAGAAAGAGCTCCAATCTGCTTTGTTAAGTTAAAAAAGTATAGTGCGTGATGAGATATGACTGTATGTATTAGTCAGGGTTCTTGAAAGGAACAGAACTAATAGGATAGCTGTATATATGAAGGAGAGTTTATTAGGAGAATTGACTCACACGATCACAAGGTGAAGTCCCACAATATGCCATTTGCAAATTGAGGATCAAGGAAGCCAGTTCGAGTTCCAAAGCCTCAAAAGTAGGGAACCCGACAGTGTAGCCTTCAGTCTGTGGCCGAAGGCCCGAGAGCCCCTGGCAAACCACTGGTGTAAGCCCAAGAGTCCAAAAGCTGAAGAACTTGGGGTCTGATGTTTGAAGGCAGGAAGCATCCAGCACGGGAGGAAGTTGAGGGTGGGAAGACTCAGCAAGTCTGCTCTTTGCAACTTTTTCTGCCTGCTTTATTCTGGCTGCGCTGGCAGCTGATTGGATGGTGCCCACTCAGATTGAGGGTGGGTCTGCCTCTCCCAGTCCACTGACTCAAATATTAATCTCCTTTGGCAACACCTTCACAGACACACCCGAGAACAATACTTTGCCTCCTTCAATCCATTCAAGTTAACACTCAATATTAACCATCACACTGCACTACTGTTAGAGTGAGTTAAAAAAAAATCCTGACAATACCACGTGCTGGGGAGGATGAAGAGCAACAGGAGCTGCCATGCTTTTCTTGTGGGAGTGGAAAATGGGATGGCCACTCTGGAACACATTTTGATAGTTCCATTTAAAGTTAAACATCTAGGACCATATGACTCAGCCATTCAACTCCTGGGTCACTTCAAAGTAAAGAAAAACTTAAGGCCATAGAAAAATCTGTACGCAAATGTTCATAACACCTTTATTTTTAACAGCACAAAATGGAGACAACCCAAAGTTCTCCCAACAGAAAATAGATAAACAAACTGTGCTATATTTATACAATGTAACACCACTCAGCAATAAAAAGGAATGAAGTATTGACATATGCAATATGTATCTCAAGGGCGTTATGCGAAGTGAACAAAGCCAGTCCTAAAGTTACATACTGCGTGATTCCCTGTATATTGCATTCCTGAAGAGACAAAGTTGTGGTGATGGAGAACAGACCCGTGATGGCCAGGGGTTAGGGCTGACATAGGATGTGACAATATATTAAGAAGTGGCACATGGGATTTTCATTGTGGTGATGGAATAGTTCTGAATCCTGATTGAGGTGGTAGCTACATGATTCTCTACATGTGATAGAACTTCATAGAGTTATTCACAAAATTCCCCCAAAGTTAGTGCAAGTAAAATCCAAACAAAGTCTGTAGTTAATTGTACCATTGTCAATTTCCTGGTGTTGCTCATTGTACTATGATTATATAATATGCTGTCACTGGGGAAATTTTCAAAGGTACATGGGAATGCTCTGTACTATTTTTGTAACTTCAATGTGTGTCTAAAATTAAAAAAAAAAACCAAGATGCAGAACAATGTATATAATATCTGACTTTTTATATAAAAAAGCAGGGTAAGAATTTGTACTTATATTTACTTCCATACCCCTAAAGAAACTCTGGAAGTTAAAATAGATGAACAATAGTTATTGAGAGAGGAGACTGGTTGCAAGTATAGGCTGATGTTGAGAAGGAGGATTTTCTCTGTATATCTTTGATACTTTCTGGTTTATTTCTTTCAGACCCACTCCTAAGGAACTTTCGTGAGTTTTGAAGCATGTTTGTGGTTCTTAATTTGTTTTTAATTAAGAAAAAATGAACATGGGCTTTAGAGTTATGTGTAGCTATGTCTGAATCCCTGCCAGTATTTACTGGCTGTGTTACTTTGTATAAGTCAATTCACCGCTCTGTGCCTTGGTTTCTCTATCTGTAAAGAGAGCCTATAATAAGAGTGCCTGTCTCATAAGGTTATTATGAGGATTAAACAATCTAAAGTGTGTAGGGCATTTAGAGTGCTCCTACCTGGAAATATAGTGGTGTGTATTCTCTTCCCATCTCCCCATTTTGTAGAGATTGAAACTGAAGCAGAGAGATAGAAAGGCTGGTACAGGCCAGGCGCGGTGGCTCATGCCTGTAATCCCAGCACTTTGGGAGGCCGAGGCGGGCAGATCATGAAGTCAGGAGATCGAGACCATCTTGGCTAACATGGTGAAACCCCGTCTTTACTAAAAATACAAAAAATTAGCCAGGCGGTGGCGGGTACCTGTAATCCCAGCTACTCGGGAGGCTGAGGCAGGAGAATAGCGAGATCCTGGGAGGTGGAGCTTGCAGTGAGCTAAGATTGTGCCACTGCCCTCCAGCCTCGGGGACAGAGTGAGACTCTGTCTCAAAACAAACAAACAAACAAAAAAAACAAGGGCTGGTACAAGGTCACACATGGACAAACACCGGAGCTTGAACTCAAATCCATGTCTTACTCCAAAGCCCACATTCTTGACTTCTACACGCTCTTGCCTCGATTTCCCACTTGATAGTTCCTTCTCTGAGTTTCTGGCTGGAAAAAGGAGGCAGGAGAGGAGGCCAGCCAACCCCTAGCACAAATGTACTGTTTCCTCCAATCTCCTTCTTGTACCTGAATGCCACGGCCACAACAGGTAGTGGCCCTGGGAAGGGGTGGGGTCATGGTCATGCCTTAGTCAGGCACTGGGTTGTCAGGGTCAGCATGTTCTCAGGGTGTCCCCTGCCAACCCTACAATCAGGGCCAGCAGTAGAGACAGAGCAGTGATGGATCCCAGTGCCAGAACATCTTTTAATAAAATAAATTCATTTTAATTTCTAAATGGTAATTCCTATTTTCTATTAAATGAATGGCTTTCTCAGTACACCTTGAGCTGAGTGCATGATGAGGTGATGGTGACTCTCAAGCCTTGGGATTTGAGGAACTTGTACTGCTGTAGCCCTATCCTCAGGATGGGGGCTGGTGGGAGGATTTGCCCCCGAGAGCCTGGGTGATGCTCTCAGAGAGAGGGAGAAAGGCAGAGCAAGTCTGGGCCCAGGGTGGAGCTAAGGGGCTTCGACCTCACACGGTCCTAGCTCCAGACATGGCTTGGCTATCAGCTCATGGTCTCACCTTATGCCAATTGTTTCTTCCTTCCAGGATTCAGTTGCCTGTCTGAACAGTGACTACCATGAACTCTACATGCTGTCTACTTCTAACCCTCTTTGGCCTGACTCCAGCTTCAACACCTGGAAACATGGCAAAAAGAACAGGGGGACATTGGCTTGGACTGGAGCCACGTGTCAGAGTTTGACTCAAGGATAGTTGATGTAGAATGAAGAGAATGAGCAGGGAACAAGAGGTATAAATGTGCATGATGTTTATTCATTCAACAAACATCATTTGAGCCCCTGATTTGTAGTGTACCTTTTCTTAGTTGCTTTGGATACAGAGCTATATAGTCCATGCCAATCCAGTGGCTTCAAGTTGGGGGACAGATGAAAAGATTGGTGCCAGTGGCAAGGGTTGCAGAGAGAAATGCACAATGTACAGGGAGCCAGGAGGCAAAAGGATGGGAAGGGAGAGAGGCCCAAACCTACCACTCACCTGCAGGAAGACATTGTTTCTGATGTAGAGGTTTCACAATGGAGGCACATGGACCAAATTCCAGCATAGATATATTTGGCCTTAAGAGTGTGTTAAAAATTATAAGCTTCCAACTATGAAAATCAAGAGATTTTATATTAAAAATTGGAACTCTGCTCCTGAAGACCCAACAGAACAGGCCACATTCCCACAGGGGTTGGTTGGAGCCCAGTAGAGGTTGACCCTTAGGCATGGACTTCCTAGATCCCCAGCCTCATCATTCTCTACAGAAGCCCTGGCCTGCAAGTCCCACTTGCTTACTTTGCCTTTTCAACTTTGCTAACGTCTGAGTTTATGACTGCTAGACTTGTGAGTCCTGTAAAGGGTCACCAGCATGGTGGCTGGACCCATTCTGGGTGGGGTAGATGAAGGCCTGCCACTGGTGCCCACTCCCTGGAAGCCGTTTTATGCTTCTGATCATCATAAACACAGTCCCAGGCCACACAGGAAAGATGAGAAGCATCCCCCCAAGCCCGAAAGGCCCCCCTTCCCAGATGCAGAATCCAATTCAAACAGTTTTCCCTTTTTATTTGCTCATCTGAAAAGTCCTCCCAGATTCTCCTTCTTATTAACAACCTGCACACCATGCTGTGCTTAAAGTTCAGAGCGCCATAGGATACGGAGCCATAATTAATCTCAGTCCCTGAGTTCTAGAAGACTTAGAGCAATTATAATTTACTGTCGGAAAACCAATTTGGGGAAGCGGTGGTGTTCGCCCCCTGATCAGGACGCCACCAAATGCCACTTCCCGTCCACATGCTGCCTGCCGGGGGAGCAAGACCTTTAGTCTCTGCACCTCTGGGAGGTGTCAGAGTGGAGAAGACAGGAGGAAAGAAGAGGGAGTGGGTGTCGGCACAGGCTGGCCTGACCACTGCCAGGCACTGCCTCTTTGCTGGCTTTGTCACCCTGCTGTGGACACCTCTTCTCTTTCAATTTAGTTCAATTTCACAGTCACCCTCCACATCCTTTCCATGTCCCAGGCAGCGTTTGGCTTCAGCAGATGCCAAGGCCGGTGTTCCCTCTTCTGCCCTTACTCCTTTCCCGGGCCACTGTCAAACTTCCAGCTCCACAGACAGACGTTGCCTTTTTTCACTTTATTTCTTTTCTGCTCAAGGTCAGATTGTCATATCATCGAAATGACTTCGAGAGGACTGGGTCCGATGGACTCACCAGGCATGGTTCCAATTATCATTCAAGGGACAAGAGTGAAATGCCATGGTTCAAATGAAAACACTCACATCCACACAGGGTCAGGTGCACACACTGCTGGACGCAGCTGTGTGTTTATGGGCCTGTCTGCCCGGCCGCCCTGTGCTGGCCATGGGCCAGAAGCCACGTCCATTCCTCTACCAGACCAAGGACACGGCAGGAGGCCCCACGCAGGGTGGGCAGGTAATAAGTACCCACCAAGAGGGTTAACTTAATGGAAACACAGATATACACCAGTCTATGTGCAAATATAAACATCTACAAGGGAATGGGCTGATGATGACATTCATTCACTCATTTATTCATTCGCCCATTACTGACAGGTACCTGGACCTATCTAAGTCTTGGGAATATTGAAAGGAATATATGTTTGTTTTTGATGCCAGTTTAAACGTATCTATAATGCAGTATGATAAGAGCTCTACTAGAGACTCATTGAAGGTGTTATGGGAACACACAGGCAGGGCCCAGGCTATCCTGGAGTAGGTGATATTTGAGCAAGACCTGGATTCCTCTGCGCTTGTCTCCAGTTCTGCACTTCAAAGTTGTTCTGAGTTTATCGGCTTTTGTGCTAGTGTCTTTTTAGAGAAGGGACCCTGTCTTAGCAATCCTTGAATCCCTATCATTTAAAGTAGTGCCTGGCATGCGGGGTAACTTGTTTGGAACATGCACATAGGATAAATGAATAGTAAGCACTTTCTAGGCAAGGAAAGTGGAGCGGGGCACACCTGTGGAAGGGCAGCATGGAGAGGAGGAAGAATGCAGGGCTGCAGGTAAGGACAGGTACTAAGTGCCCCAAGGGCAGGGGCGAAAGGAAACGTGGCCAGTGCCGGAGTGAAGACGAGCTAAGCACACAGACCAGCTCCCAGGGGCACAGTAGGGTTACAGATTCTGCTACCTCCAGGAACAAGGCAGACAACAGAAATGAGGACAGGAGGAAGACATGAGACCATAGGGAGTGTGGGGCCCATGGAGAACTGAAAAGCACATGACCCTCCAACAGCACTGAAATGCAACATTAAAAGCACACCATTGGCACTCACCTGGAGTCTCAGCTGCTCGGAAGGCTAAGGCGGAAGGATTGCTTGAGCCCAGGAGTTTGAGGCTACAGTGAGCCACGATGGCACCACTGCACTCCAGCCTGAGCAACAGAGCGAGACTCTGTGTCTAAAAAAAATAAATAAATAAAGTAAGTGCTGTTAGCCAATCAAAATATTTGGGACATTGGGTGAGGTGCCAACTCTTCTTTCTCCCTGCTTAGTGCTGTACTGAGGGTTGTGCGGTACTGTGGAAAAAGTCCTGCCTGGAGTTTCTGGAGAACCAGAAGCAAATGTCAGATGCACTGCTCACTTGCTGGGGGAGCTTGGCCAAAGCTCTTTCCCTCTATGTGCTTCAGTTTACTCATCTATTTGCTTGCCTGTTCTGCCCACTTGCCAAGTTGGTTGAGGTGATGGATGCTCAGTGCCCTCTAGATACTAAAGCTCAGGTACCTGAGGGGCTTTCTTCCTGAGAATTAAGCCAGGCGAAGTCTGGGCTCCCCATGGAAAGAGGTGGTCAGTAGGGGACAGACAGCCTTACAGCAGATCTCCTGCAATGTCTCGCAGGAGACAGGGCTCTGTTAGAGCAGGAGATGCCCCTAACTTGAGCAGAAAAGGGGACTTTATGCAGCTGGAGGGACTGGGGCACAGAGAGTGGCTGGAGTGGCCCTAGAGGAGATTCTGGAAGAGCCAGAGCTGCTAAGAGAGGATGGTAGTAGGGGGTGGGGGGCGGGGCAGGGGACACTCCCATTAGCAGGTGGCTGAAGGCTTCACCTGAAGCGTGATTTCCTGGGACATGGCCAAAGCAGGAGCAGCATCTGAAAGAGGATGGGCAGAGGGTGGTCAGAATGATCTGAGACAGGCCAGGTGAAGGGTGGCCAGAATGATGGCCTCCGCAGGCCTGGTACAAAGGGTTGGGTTGGAATTATCAACTCTATGGCTACTCACAGCCAGACCCAGAGGCCCCATGCACTCCTCCTCCCCGAGGTCCGGGCCCAGGGCTTGTTCTTTCCCCATCCAGGGCCCTGCCTGGTTCTCGATGGGGCCTGGAGGGACTCCTAGCACAGCCCTAGGACTGTCTGTGGGCACTGTTAGGTGGGTGTTATTATGGGATTCCCCTGCCCCCAGGGAAAGCCAAGGATCTTGGGTGATGTCTGCTGAGAGGGCCCTGGCAACCCTAATTTCCAGGCCTCTCATTGTGCTGGTCCAAAGAAAGAAAAGGACTTGCTTAGGGTCTCCCATCTCCTTAGAGTTGGAGTCTCTTGGGCTTTGGTTGGGCTGGAACTCTCTGTTTAACTCTCAAGTGTTCAGGAGTGGAGGATTCAGAGCATTGCAGGGCTGAAAGGGAACTTAAAACTGATTAAGTCTATCTCTGTTCCTCCCAGCACTCCCATTGGAGATCGGCTTTTCTTCTTCTCTGTAGTTTAAAACTCCCCACTGCCAGGCTCAAGCCTGAGGTGACCTTCCCCACTGGAAGAGTTTGGGAAAGCAGGCGAGGCCTCAGAGTCACCACAATTAGCTTGCTGGAGACTCCTAGCCCCATGTGGCAGGACACTGTCCTGTCTGCCCCGGTATCTGTAGCACTGCAGAAGTGCCTGGTGCATGGAAGGTGCTCCGGGATAGTGTTGAATGAATGAGGCAATGGGTTAGAGCCCCAGGGAGAGATAGTGCACAGCCTGGCAGCTCAGCCTCCAGAGACCAAGGGGCACTGAGATAAATGCTTCAGAGCACCAGTCCTGAGGCAGCAGGAGCCTGGGTGCTGGGACCACCCTTGTGTCTGGGCTGGATCCAATCCTGCCCTCAGGGAATGCACTGTGAAATGGGGAGGGCAGGCAGAGAAGAGGAGCAGAGCCCTGTGATCCTGTGTGGTTGGGGAACCCGTGGCTGCCCTGGTAGCCAGGCATTGAGCCTCTGGCTGGGCGAGCTTTCTGTGCCCCCACCCTGGGTCGGTGCTTCCTTCTTCCCCTTGTCTGGCTCAGACAGCACCTCTTCTGGGAAGTCCTCCATTATCCACTTTTGAATTCACTCTCCTTTGGCCCAGCTCTGCTCCTCCTGTTCCCATTCAGTGGGACTTAGTGGCTTCATATTTACTGAGCACCTACTGGGTTCAAGGCCTTATGCTTGGGCAGGTGTTTCTTGGGTGAATGTCTGACCTGTCAGCACGTGAGACCACTTTCCCTCTCTTTCCTGGGAAGCGCAGATGGGGCACTCAAGGACTGCTCAGTGTCCCTTGGCCCCGTCCTCTGGTGGCGCAGGGCCCTGGCTTGCAGCAGGAGGCCCATCCTGCTCCAATAAGGTGCTTTTGAGTGTGCACCAGATACCGTTCTTGACCCTGGGTATGCACCCCGTCATTTCATTCTCCCCCGTCCTTTGATGTGAGGTACTCTCTTCATTCTTCCCAGATAAACATGTGACAGTAGAGGCTCAGTGGCCCAGAAAGGCCCAGACATGTGCCAAAGGTCACAGAGCCCTGGCCCGGCCCTAAGATGCTGGGTGGCACGGACAGTGTGTTTGGTTAAGGAGGAGCCTGTATCTCATCGACCCCCTCCCCTCATCAAAACCCAACTGCTAAAAGAGGCCCTGCCTGGAGGCCTGGGGACTTGCTGAGGTCCTGAAGGAGCTCTCTGGGGGAGGTTTCTGGGTAGCTCTCCCTCGTTGAGGACGGGTCAGGGAGGGGCCTCTTGTTCACACTGCTCTCCCCTCATGGCCTGTGTGTGGGTCAAACTGTCATCTGGTTTCCACACACTCCAAGGTCAGGGGTCAGGCTTTCATCACCTGCTGGAACAAGTGGGGCCTGGGCATGCAGTAGGTGCTTACTAAAAGCATGTGTCTTGACTGTGTTTTTTGTGAAGGTTGTCAACTCCCAAACAACACCACTTGCACTTTGCACTAGGGCCATGTCTATTCTGATCAACACCAGCCTGGCCTGGGGGAAGGCAGAAGGCTGAGGGGCTGTGTCTCAGCACTGCCACACCACTGGTGGTGGGGGTTTGTCTCTGGGGTCCTCTGATGCCTCATCTGTTCCTGGAAGAATGAGAGTTGCCTTTCGGGATGTGGTGAACACACAGGCATCTCTGTTTGTGCCTCAGCTCTGGCTGACTGCCCAAGGCTGAGAACCAAGCAGGCGAGGCCAAGAAACCATCTATTCCAAACGGGGCTCTAGACTTGCTCGGCTGGGCTTTAATGGAGGTGGTGGCTGCTGGTTTTGTGACCCTTAGCTCAATGCTCATTGCCACAAAGGGATCAGAGAGAGGCCAAGATAAGCTTCCTCTGGGGCAGCAGGGGCTGCTGGGCGTTGGTTCCCCTCTCACCTCTTGCCTTGTGGGAGAAGCTTATAAGGAAGGTTTGGCAAGGGTATATTTAGGTTTGGCAAACACAATGTCCATTGTCTGCCCCATGCCCAGGAAGTCTGAAGCAGAGCAGCTGGGGCTGGAAGGGGCTGAGGCAGCAGAGGGGACAGTGAGGGGGGAACAGAGGCTGCCAGCAAGGGTGCAGGTGAGATGGCCTGTGTCTTAGAGGCTGACTGTGTAACTCCCCAAAGGGAGCAGGGGCAGGGGGCAATACGGCCTCAAAAGGACCCCCGGATGCCTCAGAACTGCGGAAGTACCTGGAGGTGAACATCTGTTTCATCCAGCAGGTGATGAAACAGAACTGAGATGATAGAGTGTCCAGCGTGGGACTCGCCAAGAACCCATAACGGCGCCACAAGAGAAAGCCCGGTTATCCACGAACCTTAGAGAAGGGACGGTGCCAGGTCCCAGCTCCCTGCTGCAGGAGGCTGTACATTCTGTCCTGGATCCCCTCTCTCCCTGGGCCTCCCTGTGAAGGGTCAGAATCCAAAGGGATGTGTTGGAGGAGGAGGGCAGAAGTCAGGAGAGCAGAACTGGGCTGCCCCTGTTTCTCAAGGCAGTGGCATCCCAGCCAAACCGGTGGCAGGAACAGGCTGGAAGTGGGCTGAGAGTGGGCTCTTACCTGGACTGGACATTTTTTATTATTGAAAGAAGATTCGTTTTGCTTACTCGAGTGACCAGATGACTTTTTATCACAGAAGAGTGATAGGAAAAAGGGATGGAACCTGTCAAGAGTTTGTTCAGCTCAGGAAAAGAACCATATATGCCAAGTGGGTTTTCATTTTGATTTTTTGTGCATCACGAGTTTTTTGCATAAATGTTGCTTTTGAAAAATATTGCATTAAAATATTATTTATTTTTATTACTGAGGTTTTTTGATGCTTTCTTAAATTATGTGCCCAAGATGAGTGCTTCCCTTGCCTCACCCTGCTCCCCACCCTGGTGGGGAGAAGAAAGCAGGTCATTGCCAGCTTGCACCCTATCAAATTGAGCAGGTTCACTATGGCACTTAACAAGTGGAAGGGCTCTTGCATGCTGTGTGGCAAAATGGTGGCAGTAGTAATGATGATGATGGTGACAGTGAATGCTTACATGGTGCTGGGCACTGTTCTAGCTCAAATCATCCAATCCTTATGACTACTCCATGTGGAGGATGCCATCTTGTCTCCATTTTACAGAAAAGAGAAGTGAGGCTGAGAGAGGTTAAGCAATCTGCCCAAAGCCACAGAGCAGATATGTGGCAGAGCTGGGATTTGAACCTAGGGAGTCTGGCTCCAGTGTCCATGCTCTTTCTAATCTGCTATACACAACCACCTCCCTAGTAGATAGCATCATCATTAAGTGTTACCAGATTCTGTCTGTGCTTCAAATCAGAGGACAGGCTCCACCGCAGGGGCTTCCCCAGTTTGTTCTCTTTGAAAATTGATGGTTGAAACCCACCTTGGACCCAGAGCCTGGTTTATCCCCCAGCACCCTGCTGCTTGGGTACAGTGTGACTCTGTGACACATGATGTCCAGCCCTTGGCTCTACCTCCTGGTCCCTGCAGGTCCTCTCCCTTGGCCTGCAGAGGGTGGGCCTTGGAGCTGGAGACCAGGGCAGTGGCGCACAGATGAGAGAGTGATGTCCAAGCCAGGCTGATTTGCAGATGGAAATTTACATACATAATGTAATTTGGACCAATTGAATTGTCGATTAAGATGGAATCGCTTGACAAGCAACATGCACTCTGGCGGGTGACCGAGGAGATGAGAGGCCCTTGAGATGCCTGTAGCAAAAACATGCTTTTGTTTTTAAAGGAGATGGCCATTTTCAAATTCCACATTTTAACAACCTTTCTTCTCAGCCCCCTTCCCTGCAGGTCACAGCTGTGATTTGCTGAGATGAAAAACTTTATGGGCAATTAACA
The DNA here is from genome assembly GCF_000001405.40 of Homo sapiens. Lineage (NCBI taxonomy): Eukaryota > Metazoa > Chordata > Mammalia > Primates > Hominidae > Homo > Homo sapiens. The sequence continues at coordinate 78,863,526 of NC_000010.11, read as the reverse complement.
TTAAAATCCAAGGCACAGTGAGCAGGCTCCCGGGTGCAGCTGGAGAGGCAAGGGGCCAGGACACCTCCCAGGACTGGACAGGGATCCAGAGGCTGTGGGCCTGGGCCTTGGGTCTGAGCCATCCAATCCCACACCTACAACAAGCGAGGAAGTGGTGCTGGGTACATGTTGAGTTCGTGGGGGAGGAGAGCAAAGAGGCTCCCTTGGGGTCATGTGGTCTGGATTTGAACCTGGATACCTGCTTCCTGGAAGCATGACCTTGGGTGCCTGGCTGCACCTCTCTGAGCCTCAATTTCCATATCCATAAAATGGGGAGAATGTTCTGCCATTACCTGTGATGACAGATAGGGAAGAAATGTGATAACCTGGAGGCCTAGCGGGAGAGGGGATCCAGGGCAACATGTACAGCCTCCTGCAGCAGGGAGGTGGGACCTGGCATTGTCCCTTCTCTCAGGTTGGTGGGTAACTGGGCTTTCTCTTGTGGTGCTGTCATGGGTTCTTGGTGAGTCCTCTGCTGGAAACTCTATTAAAGGATGCTCCACCTTCAACATCCTTGCACAATGTTCACCATAGTGATGAAGGGTAACTAAAACATTGCCTCTGTGCCCCAAACAGTCTGTCTTATTCATTCTTCTCAGGTCTATTAAAGTACTAAATTCCTTGCTGCCCCAGGGCATTGACACAGACTCTTCTGCCCCAAATTCTCTTCTTTCCATTTGTATGCACCTTTGCCTGGTAGACCTCTTCTCTTCCCTCAAACTTCAGCCTCAATTCACCTTCCCCGAGACTCCTGTGTATCTGCATTCCAGTCCATGTCTCCTTTTTTATGTTCTCAATATCCTGGACCTTTCCTCCTTACGCAGTCGTAATTTCATGTTGTTGTAATTATTCATGTCACATCAGCGTCTATACCCAACTTTGAAGTCCGTCGCAGTGGGGTTTGTCTTGTTTGCTGCTGATCCCCAATACCTGGTACAAAATAGGAATTCAAAAAATAGGTGTATATTTGCAAAACACACTCTCTCCCTCTTTACCTGGCAAGTTCTTGCTAATCCTTTAATTCTTGGTGTATGTGTCACTTCCTCCAGGAAGCCTTCTCAGATGCCCTTCCTGCAAGTTAGGTGCCTTTGCCACGTGGCAGTTACACAGGCCCCAGAATTTGCCTTCCCAGGGAATGGTCCCTGGATTGTCACTGTTCATTTACTGGGTTCTGTCCTTATCAGACAGTTTCTAAGGTTGGGGCTGGAGTCCTGTTCCCTGGGGCATCCCTGGCACCTAACTCAGGGCATGGTATACAGTTTATTATGGAATAAACACATCACAGGGCACCCCATATGGGCACAGAGAGCCCAGGCTGCCCCACATGGTGGCTGTGGATGGAGAAGAGCTGACTCAGGGGCTAAAGGAAGGGACTGATGGATACTGCCCAGAGATGGGGCAGGGCCCTCTAAACTTGTACAGGACCTCTGGGCGTGGCCACTAAGCACAGGAAAGACCAGTGCCAAATGAATCAGGGCTACCCACAGCCAGGGAAGGGAGAGTGCTAGAGTTCATGCAGGTTTCATGGAGGAAGCCGACTGAGATGAAGGCTGGGGTGAGGGGTGGTGTTGGGATGGACTGGTATGCTAGAGGGTGGGCACTGACAGGGTTAAAGAGGAGTTTTGGGGGGTGTAGCTGGGAGCCCCTCGCCCTTCCCAGGATTGGCCACCATGGGGTACCACCTGGGTGCCCTTGTCTCATTGGGTCACAGGGCCTGCATGCTTTCTAGCTCTGTCTTCAAAGTGAGGGGCAGCAGCTGGTGGTGGTGGCAGCCTGCCCACCTGCTCCTTCTCACTCCCGAGGCTGTGGCTGCCTGGCTCTGGCTCCACTCTTGTGTTGAGAGAGAAGGGTACTCACAGGACAGGGATGCTGTCACTGGCTTAGTGCCAGCAGTCTGTCAGTCCCACACTCAGTACATTTCCCTCTGCACTGGGCCCTCCCATGAGGGGCCCGGGCAGATGCATGGTGCTCTTGGGCTCCCATCAGGCTGCCCTGGCCCTATCATGCCTTGGGCTCCAGCTGCAGCACCTGGGGCTGCCTTGTCCCAGTGCCCTCACTGCATGTTCTCCTCATTCTCTGCAGGGAAAAGGGTCTTCATGGTCCCGAAGGACAGAAAGATCTTGCATATAGTAGGCACCTAATGAATGTGTGTAGACACCCTGTTTGGAATCCTGAAGCTGTCATCCCTCCCACTTGCTTTCCTGTCCGTCTGAATGGATTCACGTTGACCTGTAAGCCCATTTATGAACGTAATCAAAGTTATCAATAGCAAAGGGTAGAGAGCAGCACCCTGGGGACCTCCAGAGATACTTTCTTCTGGGTCACCATGAACCCACATTCTGCAGAACTTGGGAATGTCATAGGTTCTTGGATAATAAGTTGTACCCAACTATGTGGTCATAGAGTCCACGTCTTTCTGCCATTTCCAGAATAAATTGTGGCAGAGCTTTGGCAACACCTTTCAGGAATCTCAGGTCCTCTTGGCTATCTCTTCTCTCCCAGGGCCACCTGCTACCTTCCGTGTGTCCACATGCAGTGTTCCCTAGAGCTGCTCACATGTGCCACCTCCTCTGTGGAGACTGGGTGCACACTGATGTGGAACAGACATCCTGGCCTGTTCCTAGCGGGTATGTCTGGGGAAAAGGGCAAAGGAAGGGGGCAGAGGAAGGGTCCCTGGGATATTCTGGTCTGTCTGCTTCCCAGCCTGACCTTCCTGCTCACCCCAAAGTGCCCTCCCCTTCTTCCCATTCTCCCCACCCTACTCTCGCAAGGCTGTGGGCTCCCCCTAATCAAGCAAGGCAATCTGTGGACTCAACATCTGCTGACCTGTGTCACAGTGAGGGCTGCCACCTTGCTCCCCTTGGACCTGGGTTTGTCCTGCCCCATCTTTGGGCCTCAGCCCCATGTTATAAAATGAAATGCCCTGGAGTCAATGACATCTAAAGGGACGTGCAGATTTTACATGCTGTGTGCCCATTAAAATTACATTCTCAGCCCACTCAGCTGCGCACGGTAGGACATTAGGAAAGTCCCTTGTTCTCTGTTGTTTAGAGTCCTCAACTCTCAAGTCATGGGGTTGTGGGGGATTAGGTGCAACAAGCTTCCAGGGCTCCTTTCACCATTCCTTTTTAGGATTCTATGAGTCCTAATGCCAGTGACTTAAAAAAAAAACGATTTAAAGAAAAATTTGCGAACATCACCATGTTGTAATATTCAATTTCTCAGAGCCGATCAGGAATGGAAAATGTGAGACACCTCAAGGTGGTGGGTGTGTGTATGTTTCTTTTTTCCTTTTTTTACACTCCAGTGAATCAATCTTTACAGAGAGTATGAAATGAAATTCTGCCACCTTGCAGTAAAATTAGAGCTGGCATTGCTGTCAAAAAAAAAAAAAAGTCAAAAAGGCAGCCTCAAAAAAATTATGACCAGCTACCTGCTGGATCCACCCTGCTGAGGAGGCTCCTTGTGACACAGTTTACGATCTGGAGGATTACTGTGGTCTTGATGCTATCATCTTAATTGCAGGAGCAGAGCAGGGCTGCAGCCTGTGGTCCCTGAGCCCCGGTGCTCTGGCCACATGGCGCGCCTAGTTCTCAATCTGATAAATTCTTTTCACTGATTCTGCCTGCTCCAAATTACTTTGTGGGGGCTGCAGACTTCCGGGCCACTACTGATTTTTCTGCTTCCTTCCTAAAATGAGGTTGTGGAAGCCCCAAGAAGAGGTAGCGGGAGGGAGAGGGCCACTTACTCTTCCACTCAGAGTTCCTTCCCTAGATGGCAGGAGATCACCAGAGAGGACACCCCGTGTTTCTGGGCCACGAGCTGGTGAGACACAGGATGGAGTCTGTGTATTTAGAGATCATTGGCAAGGCTAAGACTTGGGCCTCAGCCTTGAGACCAAGGGGGCCACCAGCATCTCGGGAGCCCAGCATCCCTGGGCTGGAAGGGATGGATAGGGGCTCGGGCTCTAAACCTCACTAGGCACACGTGATGGGTCTCCACTCTGGGTTTAGTGTATGCTGCTCAACATTGCTTGGAGGAGGGGAAGCTGGGGAGCACTTGTCTCGTAACCAGACTTCTAGGTCCTAGCCCAGTTCCCCAACTTATTTGCTCTGTGACCTTCCTCGGGAAATGAACCTGTCCTCTTTAGATCTTAGTTTGCCATTTGTAAATTCTGGGGCTTTGGATTAGAGCTGGGGTTGCAAACTAGTGGCCCTGAGATTTGGCCTGCTAAGGTTGTTTTGTTTGGCCCGAATAGTGCTTTCAAACCAGGACATTTTATGTTTAAAAAAATCCAAAATGTTGGCTTCTCTTTAAAAATCAGAAGACTCAGAAAAAAATAGTCTCATATTCTCATGTGGCAAAAAGTGGCTGAATCTGGAAACTTACAAGCTAATTTAAAAATTTATCAGTCAATTAGTCAGAATTCTAAAATTCAGAGTCAAGAGACTCAGAATAACCAAAGCAATCTTGAAGGAGAACAAAGTCAGATTTCAAAAGTTGCTACAAAGCTACAGTAATCAAAACAGTGCAGTACTGGCATAGAATTAGGACCGAGAGTCCAGAAATAAATGTTCACCTTTACGGTCATGGGTGCCATTTTCAACAAGGGGACCAGGATAACAAAATGGGGAAAGAGTAGTCATTTCAACAAATGGTGATGAGACAACTGATTTCCACATGCAAAAGGATGAATTTTTACCTCTACCTCCCACCACATATAAACATTAATTCAATTGGCTGGGCGCGGTGGCTCACGCTTGTAATCCCAGCACTTTGGGAGGCCAAGGCGGGTGAATCGTCTGAGGTGGGGAGTTTGAGACCAGCCTGACCAACATGGAGAAACCCCATCTCTACTAAAAATACAAAATTACCTGCGTGTGGTGGCGCATACCTGTAATCCCAGCTACTTGGGAGGCTGAGGCAGGAGAATCTCTTTAACCCAGGAGGCAGACGTCGTGGTAGGCTGAGATCATGCCATTGCACTCCAGCCTGGGCAACAAAAGCAAAACTCTGTCTCAAAAAAAAATTTTTCAAAATTGATCAAAGACCTAAATGTAAGAGCTAGAACTATCAAACTCTTGGAGAAAACATAGGTGTAAAACCTTCATGATCTCATATTTGGCAAAGTTTCTTAGATATGACACCAAAAGGACAAGTGACAAAAAAAGGAAGTTTATCAAAATTAGAAAATTTTATGCTGCAAATGATAACCATCAAGACAGTGAAAAGAAGACAAACAGAATGAAAAAAAATATTTGCAAATCGTATAGGATTGGTAAGGAGCTTGTCTTTAGACTATATAAAGAAGTCTTACAACTCAATAATAAAAAGATAACCCAGTTAAAAATGGGCAAAGGATCTAAATGGACGTTTCTCCAAAGAAGATACACACACGGCCAATAAGTACATGAAAAAATCCTCAACATCTTTAATCATCAGGGAAATGCAAATCAAAACTACAAAGAGCATTTCACACCCACTAGGATGGCTATAGTAAAAAAGACAGACAGACATCCTCATTGACAAAGATATATAGAGATTGAAGCCTTCCTTCATTGCTGATGAGAATGTAAAATGGTGCAGCCAGTTTGGAAAGCAGCGGAATTCCTCAAAATATTCAATATAGAATTCCAATATGATCAAGCAATTCCTCTCCTAGGTATGTAAGCAAGAGAAGTGAAAACATATCCACACAAAACCTTATGCACAGCAGCATCATGCATAGCAGCATTATTTGCCATAGCCAAACAAGTAGAAGCAATGCAAAAGCCATCAAATGGTGAATGAATGCATAAAATGTGGAATATCAACACAATGGAATATTATTTGGTAACGAAAGCAATGAATTTCTGATACATGCTACTACATGAATGGACCTTGAAAACATCATAGTAAGTCAAAGAAGCCAGTCACCATATATTGTACAGTTTCATTTATGTGAAGTGGCCGGAATAGGCAAATCTATAGAGAAATAGATTGGTGGTTGCTCAGGGCCAGGGGCAGAGGAAGGGGTGGTGAGGAGATGGACAGTGACTGCTAATAGGCATGGGGTTTCCTTTGCGGTGACAAAAGTGTTCTAAAATTGAACTGTGGTGAATGTCATGCCGCTGTGTGAATGTGCTAAGCAACATTGAATTGGACACTAAATGAGTGAGCTCTATGGCATGTGAATTACACCTCAATCAAACTACTGTGAAAGAAGTGGCAGGTCCTGGGGAGGGGCATCTCCTTTAGATGGGCCAAGTGCTCCTGGACCACCAAAGTCCCTACCTGGCTTTTCACCTGCTAAAGTTACCTGCCTGGTCCTTGTCAATGCCTGAGTTTGCAAACCTGGGATTAGAGGCTCACTGAGGACACTTCTTGGTCCTCTTTCCCAAAGATCTATGAAAGCCATTTTCTTTCCTCCTAAGAACAATCACCCTTGCTGCTGCTCACCTGCTATGCAAACTTGGATCCTTCCCTTCTCAGGGTCTCAGTTTCCCCAAGGGTGCAGGGAAGTTCTTGGACTGCCTGTCACTTAAAGCCCTTATAACCCTGGCCTTCTCTTTGGTTTGAGCCCAAGAGCTCCTGGCCCCCACTACCCCTTTTCCACCCTGTCTTTGCTAACTAAAAGCCTCCGCGGGCTTTGGTGGGTACTGTGGGGTGGGAGGGGCCTGGGGTTGGGGGTCAGCATGCATGTCACCTGCCTGAGAGGCCAGCTAGGTGACTGAGGGCATTCTGAGGGCACTATCCCACTTGGCCAGGTCCCATTCAGAGCAGAGCACTCCTTGGGAGCCAACCAGTTTCTCCCTGGCTACAGGGCCAAGCTGGCCCCACTCCATGAGCCGGGCCTTGTCACAAGATAGGGCACAGCTGTGAGGCCACTGGTGCAGCCAGCTGGGCTTCTTGGAGCAGAGCAGAGAGGCACCAGAGAGCTGAACCCTCCCCAGCAGGGAAGAGGACAGGGAAGGCAGCATCCTGCTCCCCACTGTGTTTCAAAGGACTTGAAAAGCCAAGTTGTGGGTGAATGGGAGGGAGCAAAGTAAAGCCACTCCATGAGCAAAGCTCTTACTGTGTGCAGCACTGTTCAAAGTACTTTCCTCCTCTGTCCTAACCTCAAGAGGAAAGTGCAGTTATGATTGTTGCTTTTCTTATGATCCCTGCCTCACAGGGTAGAACACAGAGGGGCATAGTAGTTGGGGATCTTTCCCAGGCTTCTCTCCAGGAAAGTGGCAGCGCTTGGATCTAGAGTCCACACTCCCTACCGCCCCACGGACTGAGGATTTTATTCAAACTTTCCCACTCACTTCTCCCCATCCCCTGCATTCAGAGGCTGGAGTGGCCAGGGATGGGTTTGTTTTCCAGTGGATCCATCTGGGGGAGATTCTTGAGGGAAGGAGATGGTCAGAGGGCTTGGTTTCCTGCTGAGACCAAGACCCCTTCAACTGAACACACTGTTGGCAAGCCCACCCTTGCGGGGTGACGCAGACGCTGCACCCAGGCAGTCTCAACTGTGCCATTTACTGTCTGAGGAACCTTGGGCAGGCTGCTTCACCCTTCTGACCCTGACCTTTCTTGTTGTAGTGATGCTTATCCATGGAGCAGTGAGGGTTAAATGCAATAATGTTTGCAAACCAAGTTCCCTGCAGCCCCTGGTAGTCAGAAAGCCCTTAACGCAGACAACAATCATAACAATGGCTATGGCTAGCATTTTACATGATGGTAAAATGCACAGGGAGCTGTCACTAAGACTGTGCTCCTGGTAGCACAAGACTGAAGAGACCCAGTCTTTGTCTTCACTGAGGAGTGGAAGGAATGAGCCCCTGTGGGCTGGCCCGCCGCTAGTTCAGCTGGAACATGGAATTCACCTGCCTGCCTCATCTCCCACTGCACCTTGGCTTCCTCTGCGCTGGTGTGTTCCCGCCCTGCACATGTGTTCCTGCCTCCCCACCTGTGTTTATGCTATTTTCCTTCCCCTCCCCTGGAGGGTCTTCCCTTCCTCACACTCCTAATGAGACACTTGTCTACAGCATCAGCAGTTGGGCTGATGGGCTCCACTGCACCATGGTTCGTAGCCTGTGTGTGTGTGTGTGTGTGTGTGTGTGTGTGTGTGTGTGTGTAAATGAGAGGGAATACTTGTCTGGGGGTAAATGAGAGGGAATACTATGGGCTGGAGGATCGAGTTGATTTAGGAGTAAACAAAGTCTCGCAAGGCATTCTCTAGGCCACAAACCCAGATGCCTAGAGGGGTCAAGCAGAGTTTTGCTATTAGCAAGGCAGGGAGGATAAGACACACAATAGGGAGTAGAGGGGCCTGTGGCAAAATAGAGGGCACAGACCCTGCCTAAAAGAGCAACTGCCACTATTTCCAGTTGATCCCCTGTGAGAAAGTGCCTCCAGAAAGGCTTGATATTTTAAATTTTCAGGAGGAAATGGAAATCTCTATTTCTATATAAAATGCACTGGTTTTTAAAAGCATTGCACAGGCCAAATAGAACTGTGCAATGCCTTAAAATTTTCACATGCAGGTCTAGGCTGCGGGCCATCAGTTTGAGGCCTCTCCTCTAGGTGGGAGCCAATAGGCCACTGGGCCCAGGGAGCTGTGAGGATAATGGGCCCAAGCCAAAGGCATCAGCCTGGCCAATCTGGGCATCACCTGAGCTTCCCTATGGGATCCTCTTTGAGGAGGAGTGGGGAGGAATGGGGAAGGAAGGAAGGAGGAGTGAGGAGGAATGGGATGAAAGGAGGATGGTAGGTAAAAGGGAGGCCAGGGGAAAGTCCCAGACATGGTAGGTCTTGAGAGAGGGGAGAAAGATGGAGGAAATGTTGAAATGGAATGGGACGATGTGAAGTTGAGAAAGAACACTGAACTAGGAGTCAAGGGGTCTGAAGCCCTCCCTTGGTTGAACCCCAGATCTGGGGACACAGAGGTAGGTAAGCACATTTCCAGTCCTGTGGAGGGCGCAGTCTTTCATGGTAGAAACAAACATGGAAACAAATACTTACTTGTACAGACAGTCCCTGTCTTATGGTGGTTTGACTTAGATATCTCCACTTTGCAATGGTGCAAAACTAATATACATTCAGGAGACGGCAGCACGATACTTTCTTTTTTTAAAAAAAATTTTATTATTATACTTGAAGTTTTAGGGTACATGTGCACAACCTGCAGGTTTGTTACATATGTATACATGTGCCATGTTGGTGTGCTGCACCCATTAACTCGTCATTTGGCATTAGGTATATCTCCTAATGCTATCCCTCCCCCCTCCCCACACCCCACAACAGGCCCCGGTGTGTGATGTTCCCCTTCCTAAGTCCATGTGTTCTCATTGTTCAATTCCCACCTATAAGTGAGAACAAGCAGCATGATATTTTCTCGCGATGCTCAGCAGTGACAGTGCACTGTAGCTCCATCACTCACGTGATCACCAGAGTCAACAACTCCCACTGTACAGTGTACTGTGTTGCACAATGATTTTGCCCAACTGAGAGCTAATGTAACTGTTCTGAGCATGTTTAAGTTAGGCTAGGCTAAGCTATGTAAGATGTTCAGCAGGTTGAGGATTGTAAGTTGCATGGGCAACTTACAATATTTTCAACTTATGATGGGCTTATCAAGATGTAACCCCTTTGTAAGTCAAGGAACATCTATATATGTGTACTATCCCAGTTATCAAACTGTACCTAATGGTTGCCCACCCAGGAGGAAGACAGCTATGCTGCCTAGAGGCTGGGTTGGCAGAAGGCTCACAGGAGAGGAAGAAGAGGGGACATCTGAGCTGGCTGTAGGGGAATCAAGGGGATGCTGTCATCTAGACAAAGGGTAGTAGTGGGGGAGGGGATATTTTAGGTCTCAAGCTGTGGCCTGTGAGGTCAGAGTCTTCTGGAGTAGGGGTAGACTTTGTCCAGAGCCTGTGTAGTGTGTGGGGTGGTGGTAAGAGTGGAGAGAAAAATGGAGAGATAGGAGTAAAAAAAAAAAAAGACTTGAATAAGATCGTGAGTCACCTCAATATTGAGTAAGGGGCTTATCAGTAAAATCACAATGGTGGGAAAGAGCCGTGGCAGGCTTTGAAGTCAGAAAGAGCTACGATATATTCATTCATCTATTCACTCATTCATTCATCAAATACATATTGAGCACTGAAGATCCTGCAAGGAGCAAAGCATATCTCCTGCCCTCATGAAACTTGTGGTCTGGGGCAGGGGAGACCAGAATTTATGAAAGAACCACATGGATAAGTCCATCAGTTAAGACCATGATCAGAGTGGTGAAGGAGAAGCCAGGATGCTGACTGAGAGCTTGAGAGTGAAGAGGAAGGGGAAACAGAGGAGGTTGGAAACCAGGCTGTAGGAATTCGGCCATGTGGATGAATTGGGAGCTTATCCCAGCTGCCCAAAGCCTCTGGACTGCTTTAGTCGGGGTAGGGCTCAGCCTCTGCCTTGCTGTGGACCTTGGGCAGTGCCTCCTGCTGGCTCAGTCTTGAATTTCTCATCTGTACAATAAATAGGCAGGACAAGGCCACCTCCAAGGCCCATGCAACTCCTCCAATTTCCTCCCTCCTCCCTGCTGTCCTTGCAGCCTGTCATTTTAGAAGGGTCAGCAGAGTCAGTCTTAATTTCACATGGTGTTTCCTCCCACGTGTCTTCCCGCCTTCCTCCTCAGAAGCTCCCCCTAGCCTCCTGGCCACCTTTGTCCTTCATCAGCTGAGCCTGGTGAGGGGTGGGGGGCTACTGACATTGAGGGGCCTTCCTGATTGTGAAGGCACAGGGTCCTGCTGATGAAGCCCCCACTCCTTGAAGGCTGTGTGTTTGGGGGGGCCCAGGGAGGCCAAGTCTTGGCTGTGGCCTGGGACCCCTGCCGGGCATCGAGGGTCAGGCTATATGAACTGATGTGGTGTGAGCCTTGTGTGATGGCCAGAGCACCGGGTCCTGGACCCCAGTCTTGGCTCTGCCCTTAACTTGCTGTGTGTCACCTGGGCAGTCACACTCATTTCGGCTTCTGTTTCCTGACTTGTAAGATGAAGTGGTTGTTCCGGAGAAGTCATTTGATCAGCAATGTAGAGCTCTTTTTTTTTTTCCAAGGAAAACCTTACATATAATCCTGATATACAAACTAGATAAAAATGGAGTTGCTTATCATGGTGGGTGAGGGTCTGGGGACCTGCCCCCTTCACTGGTCTGACCCAGGGTTCCCTGGGATGGATAAGTTAGGCTGGATGGTCTCAGGGTTCCCTGACATGTTGGAATCCTGGAGCTGGAGGAGGCTTCTGCAACTGTTTCAGGGCAGAGAATGATGGGTGGGTGAGGCTGGGGATAGCCCATCCTGGTGCCCACTGGTACCCGCCCCTCCTGCTGTTGGTCCAGGGCACACAGTTTGGAGCAGCCTCTGGGGATAAGGAAGGACCTCTCTCCCACTCATATGTGCCTGTGGCTCTGGGAGGAGTGTCTGGTCTGTTGGGCCCAGTCCTTGTCACTGATCTCCAGGGCTCTTCCTTTTCAGAGGCATCGGGATCCTGCTCTCTGTCCTCCACCCCCAGCTTGATGGAATGCAGAAGGGGAGGGGAGAGGAGGGCAGTGGAGCTGAGGCTGAGGCAACATCTTGAATTATTTTGCAAACATGTTGGGTCCACCAAAGCCCAGCACACATCTTGTCCCCGGCACCCTCTCCCTGGATGTGTGAGCCCATATGTTCCTGGGCAAATGTGCTCCATCTGCCTGGGCTGCATTTGCAATTAGCTCATCAGGATGCTGTTCTCTAATAGCCCTTTGATGTCCAACGAGCCTCCTAAGCCTGTGTGTTGCCTTCCCTTTGAAGCAGGACATCATGTTTTGCCAGAAGTCAATGAAACGCCCTAGTAGAACAGAACAGTTTAATTCCCTCCTCAGATACAAGGCTGAGAAAGTTCAAACAGGCTTCCGCCCGTGCCTGCTGTCCCAATCGGCCTGCAAGATGCCCATATTGGAGGCCTGGTAAGGCCATGGCCCCTGGGGCTGGGCCTTCTGAGGAAGCTCTGGCCTCCTCCACCAGGGAACATGCCCAAACCGCCTGGTAGCTATCACCTGGCCTTGTATCCTCGGCCTCCTCTGACTGAATTTGGATTTGTCCATGACCCTGATTCCTGAACTGGCTCTCACCTTGACTTGCTGTTTCCCTGGACCTGGAACTGGCATCAGGCTCTGGCCCAGCCCGGGCTCCTCACTCAAGTCCTGTGTCTCATGCAACTCAGCTTGGCTTGCTTTGGGCTTCAGAGCTCCCATCTCAGCATTGACAGCTCATGGCAACCCCACCCATTGTGTGTCCAGGGAGTATTCCCCCAGGGCTGGCTGGGGGCCGCAGGGTCAAGCCTGACCTGAATGACCTGGTCACCAGGCACTGGTTCTCATACTAGCATGAGCACCTGCTGATCGCCTGATCTGAATCCATCTGCTGTCTCAGGAATTTCAGAGCCTTGCAAACTTCCCTTCCCTGGTGATTTTTGGGAGTTGCTAAGGGTGTGGTTCCTTCATGCATTTTCGATGCAGCTGTCTTTGTTGCTCACTAGAGCTGCTAACAAACCCAGTACTAGGGACCCCTGGCTATACCAATGTCCACTGTATAGGGCCAGACCAGTATTACTGGCTAGTGCTGCCTCCTAAAAGTAAGGCATGCCCAAGCACAATGCAGCAAGCTGTTCTTGGTCTCCCAGCCAATGTGCCAGGCTGCTCCATCACCCACTGCTTGGATGAGAGCTGAGTGGACTAAGCTACCAACCTGGAGATGCAGACCCTGGCATATGCCTTGTGTAATTAGATGGTGCATATTTCCTGACTCAGAGTCACGTTGGTGTAAGGGTGGAGAGTTCCATAACCCAGTTATTTGGGTCCCAGTGAGTTATTCTTTTTTGTTTGTTTGTTTGTTTGAGACAGAGTCTTGCTCTGTCATCCAGTCTGGAGCGCAGTGGAGTTCCAGATGGATTCAGGCTCACTGCAATCTCTGCCTTCCGGGTTTGCCTCAGCCTCCTGAGTAGCTGGGATTACAGGCGCCTGCCATGGTGCCCAGCTAATTTTTGTATTTTTAGTAGAGACAGTTTTCACCATGTTGGCCAGGCTGGTCTCGAACTCCTGGCCTCAAGTGATCCACCCACCTCGGCCTCCCAAAGTGCTGGGATTACAGGCATGAGCCACTGTGCCCAGCTGAGTTATTCTTTTGTTGATTCATTCACTCAGCAAAACTTTGTTGATGTCCCACTAGGTGCTGGGCAAACAGATGAACAAGTCTCACCCATCTGCCCTCATAGAGCTTACACTCCAGTGGAGGGGACATCACATTACACAAATAACAAGAAATGACCAGGGGAGATCAAAGTGAGGATGAAAATATAACAGGGTGATAGGACTGGGAGCAACTAAACTGGGGACCAGTTTAGGTGAGGTGGTCAAGGGAGCTTCCCTCAGGAGGTGACATTTAAGCTGAGACTTGGAAGATGAGGAAAAGCCAGCCATGCAAATCTCTACAGGGAGAGCATTCTGAGAGGAGGAGGCAGCAGGGAGAGGCCGGGGCTGAGGAAGAGACTGGTAGTTTCATGGGTCAGAAAGAGTGCCGGTGTGGCTGAAGCACGGGGAGGGAGAGGGTGTGGGAGAGGATGGAGAGGGAGAGGTTGGTGGAGGCAGCTCACTGAGGGCTTTGGGGACCAGGCTGAGACGTTTGGACTTTGTTCTAAGTGGAAAGGAAATTCAGTGGAGGGCCCTAGGCAGTGTGATCCATGATTTTAGAAGGCCATGCCGGTTGCCTTGAGGAAGGGGCATTGTGCATGGTGTCTAGTGAAGGGGCTTGCTGACCAGAGACTGGGGCTGGATATAACTAGGTCAAGTCATATCTCTTCTTTAAACCTTAGTTTCCTCATCTGTACAATGGAGACAATAATTCCTACCTACTAAGCTGGAGCATGAGTGAGGAGAGAATAGGAGCATAAAACTATATCATGAAATATGTACTCAGAATAACTCCAACAATTGAGGGTAGCTCTTCTCTTTTAGTTTCCAGAAAACCAGAGAAAAAGTACAACAGGTTGCCTAGTAGTAGGAGCAACCATTTTCCTGGCCCTAAACTTAGAAAGGCGACTGCCACTGAAGCCGTGGATGCCCGCCCCTTACTTTCCTTCCCGTTCTGATGCTCCTGAGACCTCCTGATTATCCTTGGCCACTGGCCAAGACAGGCTAAGACTCAAAGGCTGCCTTGGAACAGACCTGGGGAGAGAGAAAAAGATGCAGGCTCGAGGAAACCAGCTGCTTGTGGCTTTGCTGTAAACTGCAGTCCACCTGTAGGTTTGGAATATCTGCTAGTGAGCCGCCACCCTCGGCTTTATTTCCCAAGGCTGTGCCCTGGTCAGGGGCTGGCAAGAGGACCTGGTGATGGTTCTGAGTGGCTGGACTGAACCTGGCTCTAGGCACTGGTGTTTGCTGCCTTTGGATTATTTGCCTTTGCAAATAATCTCTGTGTGCTGTTGGTAAAGATGGAGCATTTTATAATGTTAGAGAGCTGCCGTGGGGTGGGAGCCTGACTCCTCTTCTGGTTTTGCCATTTAGGAGCTGTGTGGTCTGGGGCAAATCATGTTTGCCTTTTGGGCCTCAATTTCCTCATCTGTAACCTGGGATCAGGATATCTTTCCTGAGACTGTAGTGAAGTCAAAGATAGGCCCCATGAGGCCTGGCCACAGAAGATTCCACACATGGCTCTTCTTTCATTAATAAATATGACCACAGTTGTAGAACAACAGCCAAATTATGAATTAATGATTTATTGCCTTGTTGGTTTCAAAGATAATCAATTGTCGATTAAGGCTAGATCTTGGCCAGGTAGGTGACTTTTGAGTTCTCTCATGGAATGGCTTTTAAAAATTAATAGCTTTAAGGCAGCTGTAGACATAGCCTTCTTAGGTCTTCCCAGCAGAGACAGAGGCTTCAAATGTGGGGAGATTATGGCAGGAGAAGAGGTGGCTCCGTTTTTCCTTGTGTCTGTGGCTGGGTGGGAGATCCTGCTGGGCAGGGAGCCCGTGGTCGCAAACCTGCAGTTGACACTCTCCAGGCCACTCTCAGCAGAGAACATAGGGTCTGGCACATAGTAGGTGCTCAAAGCAACTGAGCATTCAAACATGAGTTCATTTACCTCTGTGGTTTAATCAAGGCATGGCCATGTCCTTTAAAAATAAACAAATCAAGCATATAGATACAATTTAACAATCGCCTGATTTGAGTCTTTTTTTTTTTTGACAGTCTTGCTCTGTCGCCCAGGCTGGACTGGAGTACAGTGGTGTGATCTCAGCTCACTGCAACCTCCGCCTCCTGGGTTCTAAGCGATTCTTCTGCCTCAGCCTCTGGAGTAGCTGGGATTACAGGCGCATGCCACCATGCCTGGCTAATTTCAGATCTTTTGCTTAGTCCTCTTTTCTATTGTATCTACTGCTTAGATTTTATCTTTAGCGTTCACAACACCCAACACATTCACGCACTCACATTCACACACTCTGCACACATACTCAGAGAGTAGTAGGGTGGAGTGATGAAGAACTCATTGCAGGTGCCCACGGTTTGCTTCTGGCCTTGCACTTCATGGGCTGGTGACCTTGGGCAAATTACTTAAGCCCTCTGAGTCCCATCTGCAAAATGGATATAAACATAACATGCACAGCTATTGTTACAAAGAGAAGCACGTAAAACAGTCCATGTGGTACCTGGCATGTGGAAAGTCTTCAGTAAATGTTGGCCACTCATCCCACAGTGTCCCGCCTATGTACATGTAGGCCAGCACTCAAAGAAAAGCATGTCTAACATGCAGATGAGAATCTGCAGGCTTTGTCTCTCCGTGAATCTCTGAGTCAGGAGATGGGCAGGGTTGTGGCTGGGCTGCTGTCTGGGGAAGTTGGGCCTGGCTGGTGCTGTGCCTTAGTCCTTGTCTCGAGGTGAGGGGTATGGCATGTGGTGGCCCTGGTGGTCGGGTCCCAGCAAAGGTTTGTGTCTTGGAAGAAATAAATGGGAGCCCTCAGCAGCCCCTCATCCTCTTGTCAGGCTGCTGTGAAATAAAAGCTAGCTGGCTTTTGTCTCTATCAAGTGGTCTTTTATATGGAGAGATAACGAGGGGACAATTAATACAGCAATTGGGAGCAACCTTTGAAGCCCTGGTAATTTCCCTGCCTTATAATTATCAAACAATCAGGGTTTTTCAAGCTCCCAATTACATCACAGTCAGAACCAGAGACAGAAAGAGTGGACACTGTAGCCAGAGGCCAAGGGGACCCAAGAAAGGCCACAATGTGTGACCCCAAGAAGATCCCAGGGGTGGGGGTAGCAGCAGAAAGAAGGGTCTGGGTTGGAAAATGAGCCTCCTGCTGGGTAGCAGCTGGGCCAGCCTCGGAGAACACCAGATGCCGTTGCTGGTGGAAGAGGGCCTGGGATGGAGCATCTGGCCCCAGCGCTGGCACACACCTCGGAGGAACAGGCTCTTGGCAGGCCTGCTTCCCCAGCTTGGCACACCCTGGGACCAAAAGCCAACCCTGAGCTCCATCTGGGGGAATCAGTGTCAGCTGGGTTGGTCCCTTGCCTACTTGCTGCTCACTCGCCGAGGGCCCTGGACAATGCCTGACTCCTCTCAGGCCTCTGTTCTCGTGCAGGCAGCAGCCCATTGCATCTCTAAGCTTCTTATAAGATCAAACACTTGGTGATTCTGACTTAAGCAGTATTAGGGAGAGAAGGCTCAGTTCTTCCTTAGAAGGTCAGTTCCTGGCATGGAGCACCCATCATGGTGGGGCCCTCCCCAAGGGCGATGGCAGCTGCGGTGCATCAGGATAGCTGTGTTGGTTCTTTACAGCCGGGTGCATCTGCCCTGGGTTCAGGCACTTGGAAACTCTTTGTGAAAGAGTCTCCTCCTGCTCCTTCTTCATTAACGTAGCCTCCACTTATGGAGACCTTGCTGGGTGCCAGGCTAGAAACTTCCCCCACAATCCAGTGTGAGCCCAGCAACAGTGCTTACAAAACAGTCACTATCAGATCTACTTTATGGGGAGAGAAGAGTGTGTAATGAGGGTTTGTAACTTACCCAATGGTCACTTTTCCCTTAAGTGGCACAAACGGAATTCATACCTGAATCTATCAGACTTCAAAGCTATAGCCTCACCCTCAGGCCACACTGCCTCCCCTAGATGGTTAGAAAACAGACGGGACCCAAGCCAGAGCCCCGGAGCATAGGCACCTCACGCTGCAGGAAGTGTGCTTGAAATGCTGCCCCTGGCCCAGCCACCAGACTCTGGTCCTCACACTGTCTCTGGGTTGTGGACAGCTCTGCTGCAGCCACCTTGATAAAACTCTACCTATGTCCCTGTCTTTGTGTCACCTCCTTCGTGCTCAGACTCCTGAGAGGGAGTGTCCTGCCAGCCAATTCTAAATCCCATTCTCCTGTCCTGGAAACTGGAAAAAGGAATCTCCACTCCCTGGACAGTAGGAGGGATTTCAAACCCTGCACCTAACATACTTTGAGATCTTCCCAGATGGAAAGTGTTCGGACACTTGGAAAAGAAGTATGTCTGTCAAGTTGAGATTCTGAAGACACGTCCCCCACCACGGCCAATGTGGAGGCTGGTTCATGGTATCCACAGTCTTGCACCTGGGCTGCATGGTCTCCACCTGAGATCCCAGCTCCAGCTTTCCTTTATGGAGGGAGACGTTAGGGACCAGAAAGGGGAATGCACCTGCAGAAGTTCACACAGCTGCTTAGTGGCTTTATGATAATAAATAAAAATTCCTATCAGTGTAGACTGAGCTTTGGCTCTGTGAATAAGAATGGATCGTCTTATGGGGCAGCAGAGTGGTGTGGAGTGGGTGCTCAGGGCAGGGGGATGGTGGTAGACGATCTCCAGCAGCTTGTTTACAGTAATCAATGACCCCCCTCAGCTGGACTGAGCCCTTAATCAACTGTCCACCCTCAGAGGATGGCAGGAGTCTCATGCTTGCATTTCTGAATTCTCCCCTTCTGGGAAAGCCCCAGGCAGCCACCATTGCAGACCTGCTCTCAGTGATTAGGGGTGAGTGACGCCAGCACCGTGTGGGTTAATGCCGCTGGGATAGAGGTATGCGCTGGCTGGTCTACGGATGGATGGCAGGTGAAGGGTGCTTTATTACGATGTATGACCAGTTTCTTGGCTGCTTCATCATCTGCCAGTGTGCAGGCAGAAGCTAATAAGCAATTTGTTCTATTTTGCCCCTGAGGGTGCATCCCGAAGAGGGAAGCTATTGATTTTTAACACTAGACACATAAACTCCAAGCTAGTTCTTGTATTCTTTGGTCCCTGGCGGTGCCCTGGTGGGGAAAGCCAGCCATTTCAGTCATCAGACACACGCAGCCAAATGAGGTGGTAATAAACTCACCACCACTGGGGCCAGTGTGTGGAGACTCCTCTCTGCTGAGGGACCTTTTTATTCTCTGCCCTGGTCCTGATTCCTGTGGTGCCTGGCCCTGTGGCCTGGCTATCATTTGGGTCCACTGCCTTTCACGGGCTTGGGGGTTAGGCTGCTGAGCAATGAAAGGGAGCAGGGTCAAGAGTGGGGAGAGAGGACCCGGCTAGGAACAGTAGAAGCGAACACTGGAGATAGGTTCTGACTCTCAGACCTGACAGCACAATGGCCATGGTTATCACTTCATCCCCTACACACCCAGTACTCATCCTGTAAAATGAGGGATCTTACAGCCACCCTGTGTGAGCCCGGCTATCATCAACCCCGGGCATCTGCAGAGAGGACTGTACATTAACACCATAGAGAGTGGCTTACCTTGGGCATTCCCGTGCTGACAGGTTGGATGGCTACCTCGCTAGTTGTAGTCCCACCTGCTCATTTTACAGATGGGAAAACTGAGGCCCAGGAAGGCAACTTAGAGTGGGTCTTCTTGTTCCCTGCCCCGGTCTCTGTCAACCCATTCTACTTCTATCTACTTCTTTCTCCAAAATATCAGCCCTCCAATCAAACACCCAGAATGTTTCTCCTATTTACTTATCTGTGCTTTCTAAATTGTCTCAATACATCTCACTTTTATAATTAGAAAAAGATAAAAACTATTACAAAATGAAAATCCATTGCCATTTTTTCTTTTAAAGAAAATACAGAAAAATAAATATCGACATTCAAAAAATATGTTTCGCAAGTATCAATTATATCTAGGTTATGATTTTTACAATATAAAATAAATTTTAGTGATCATTTCCAATTTCCTTCAAAAGGCACCTAAACTCAACCCAACACCCAAAGCCTGCTCCTGTCTGTTCTTAACCACCCTCCTCCCAGAGCATACACCCTCTGCTCACAGTAACCCACTGACTGCTCCCCAACCCTACTGGCTGACATATCCCACCCTCAACTACTATCTCTTCACTCTGTCTCTTTCCTCTTTCAGGTAAAAGTGCTTTTGAATAAACGAACAAATTGTTCTTAGCAATAAAGTCATTTCCTCATTTCCCCTGGAGGTAGGCAGTGGTAAAATAATGGTATTGAGGATCCAACTCTTTCCCTCGGTCCCAGCATCATCAGCATGCTGCCCTGCAAGCCCGTAGAGTTGTTGCTTCATAGTCACAAAGTGGCTGCCATGGCCCAAGCATCAGCTCTGTGCTCAAGGCAGGAAGTGGAAGAGGCAGCACCTGGAACTATCCTCTCTCTCAGCAGAACAGCAAAAGCTTTCCCAGAAGCCCCAGCTGGCTTTCTGAGATGTCTCATTGACCAGAATGCATCATGTGACCTTTTCTAGCTGCAAGGCAGGATGGGAAAGTAAATATCAGCCAAAACCAAACAAGATGACTTACTTGGCCTAGACAAATCATGATTCAATCCTAAGGATAGGTCACGCTGTCACTGAACAAAACAGGTTTTGACAGCAAAGGAGGGACAAATGGCTTTGGAGGAGGTATTTTCTGGTGACTTCCTGGACACCATGGTCTGTGACTCAACATCTCTGTTCTTGATCTTATCCACATCCACATGGGTAATTCCAGTTAGTGATTCCATCAATTTCTCATGATAGCTTAGGAAATCAGAGATCTCCTTATTTCCAATAGCCTTCATCCCACTCTTGCCATAGCCATCCCTCCTTCTCACCAGCAATGGCCAGCTCTCTGCATGGCTCCACTCCCACTTTTAATCTCCTCTTATGATCTCCTACTTCAACCTTCCATCTTTCCAGATCTTTTCACCCTGAACTTCTGGTTTTGCTTGCTATTTGTGTGTTCATTTTTCTCCATCTATCCTTCCTTTCCCCTAGCCTAGGGTCACAACCCTTTTCTTAAAGGGCCAGACAGTAACTACTTTAGAATTTGCAAGCCACACGTTCTTTGTTGCAACTACTCAACTCTACCCTTTTGACACAAAGGCAGCCATAGATATCACATGGACAGTGGGCATGAGCGTGTCTGATAAAACTTTATTTACAAAAGCAGGCACTGATTAGGCCTCAGGCAGAGTTTGCTGATTCTTCCTATTGCTTTCTCCTGCCTGATTCAGCAAGTCCCCATGGAACGTTACCTCCTCCACCTAGTCCCCTCCACATCTTTACCCCATACTTTTGTTTTGTTTTGTTTTATTTTGGAGACAGGGTCTTGCCATGTTGCCCAGGCTAGTCTTGAACTCCTGGTCTCAAATGATCCTCCTGCCTCGGGCTCCCAAAGTGCTGGGATTACAGGCATAAGCCACTGCACCCAGCCTTTACCCCATACTATCGATTGTGCTATAGTGAACCTTTAAAGAGAACATTCTGAGTGCCAGGCTTTAGGCTAAGTGCTTTACCTATGAAGTGGGCAATTCCATTTTGCAGAGGTATCCAGAGGAGGCATAAAGTAACTGGCTCAAAATTGCACAGTAGAGAGTGGACTTGAGGTGTCTCTCTGCCTTGAACACACGCTATTAGCCCCACTCCTCTCCCTGCTCCACTCCCCATTGTGGGGGCTTCTCCTGCCAGGATGAACCCAGCTGTCCCTAGGCTACTGTGAACTGATAGCAATGGCCAGAATCTTGCCTGAACACCTGGACCCCAATCTGCTCATGGCCTCAGTGTCAGCTGGGCCCTTGGCAAATCCAGCTGTCCCTACCTGACTCTACCCAACCCTACTCTAATAAAGACCACCATTTTCCCACCCCTCATCCCTGTGGTCTCATGTCCTATGTCATCGAGAAAGCTGAGGCCATCAAACAAAAACCCTCCATCCACTTCTCACCTCCCTCCCTGCCTGTTGGCTGTGTGTCAGCCCCCTTCCTCTCCTGCTCAGAGGAGGTCTCAGCCACCCCCAATGTCATGGAGCCCACCTTTTCCTGCCTCCTTAGGGACCTCTCTTCATTAACTGTTACTAATTTTTCTAGAGACCCTTCACCACTGTCTGTAATCCTGCCCCAGTCTCTCATCTGAAAGCAACAAAACAAACATGAAAAATATCCCTCCACTCGGCCTCCCTTCTGGATACTTTTCCTTTCTCTCCTTCCTATCATAGCCAAGTGTCCAGCATAACAAGATCCTGCTCTCACAGTCTCTTCTCTTCCCTCCCATTCCCTCTTCAACCTACTGGAACCATGTGCTCCCTCTTGTACTTCTCCGAAATTGCTCTCATGGGGGTCACCGAGTCACCTGCTAATTGCCAAGTGCAATGGGTCTCTCGGTGCCCCTCTTCCCCAACCTTTCTGTGGCACACAACCTGAGAGGTAGTTTCCTGTTTCTGGACACTTCCTCCCCTGGCTCTGCCCCCTGCCCTTCCTCCATGCTCACTCTCGGGGTCCCTTGCTGGCCTCTCTCCCCACCCTTTGCCTTAGTGTTGACTCTCACAGGTTCCTGGTCACACCAGTCATTGGGTGATGTCTCACGGCTCTCTTGGCTTCAATTATCATCCGTCTCTGGCTGTCTCCCAAATGGCTCTCTCTAGTCCAGTCCTTCATGCTGAGCTCCAGACCTAAATATCTGGAGGCTTCTAGAAATTTGCAGCTGAATCCACATGGCCAACACTGAACTTATGATCTTCTCCCCTTGAACCTTCTCTTCTTATAAACCTTATTTCACGAGTGGCCCCAGTATCAACTCAGTCACACAGGCAGAAATCGAGAGCCATCCTAAGATGATCTCTCACTCGGTCCCCATGTCACACCGGCCACCAGATCCTGTCGATTCTGCCTTTTTCATATCTCCAAATCCAGTCCATCCCTTCTTCCTTAATTCTAGCTTACAACTTTTGGGGATAATCCAATTGTTTGACTTAGTCTCTATACTCGGGCTGCTGGTGAATATCACACTGAACTGTGTGGCTTCCATCCCTCGAGATTCTGGCCTCCACCTGAACAGTGTGCTCCCTGCACCCCAGGCTTCCTTCATTTGGGGTTGGTCAGCCCCTCCCCTTTTCCCTCAGCCTCTGACCGAAAGACCTCATCTTTGCAGGAGCCTGATCTGCCTTGAGCCCTCTCTGCTCACCCTCAGAGGCCCTCCCTTCTATTTCACGGGGAAAACCCAAAGCTCACTCAAGAACTTCCTCTCTTTCTTTTTTCAACTCTCATTAATTAGTTTAATATTGAATATGTCATCACACCCAGTAAACGATTCAAATATTAAAAATGTAAGTGAACATATAACTCTTCTTCTTCCTGGAGACATCTGATACTTCAGTCTCCTTGGCAGGGGAATGGCTGTTACAAGCTTCTATATTTTTTTCAGAAATGTTGTTTGCACAAACGCAAAAATGGGAGTACTTTCTAGCCTGAGTGATCGAACACCATAACCCCATGTGGCTATTTATTAATTTATTTTTTTGAGATGGAATCTTGCTCTGTCGCCCAGGCTGGAGTGCAGTGGCATGATCTTGGCTTATTGCAACCTCCTGCCTCCGCCTTAGAGTAGCTGGGATTACAGGCGCCTTCCACCAGGCCCAGCTAAGTTTTGTATTTTTAGTAGAGACAGGGTTTTACCATGTTGGCCAGGCTGGTATTGAACGCCTGACCTCAAATGATCCGCCCATCTCAGTCTCCCAAAGTGCTGGGATTACAGGCATGAGTCACTGTCCCCGGCCCCGCATGTGGCTATTTAAATTTAAATTGATTTTGGCTAAAATTAAAATTAGAAATTTAGTTCTTCAGTCATACTACCACACTTCAAGCATCCAACAGCCACCTGTGGGTGGTGCCTACTGTATCGGACAGTGAAGATCTAGAACATTTTCATCATTGTAGACAGCTCTAATGGGCAGTGCCTGGCTGATATTGTTCTGTACCTAGATTAAAAAAAAACTATTTTATATCAGAGATGGTTCCTCCACTCCACTCATTCTAATTATTGCATGTCCTTAACTATTTAGCCAGTCTCCCAGTGAAGAACATTTAGGGGTTTCCAGGCTTTTGCTATTACAAATAATGATATCACAGACATTTAATCACACTCGTATTTTTGTCCATGCACAAGTGTATACACAGAATAAATTTCTAGAAGTAGAATTTCAAAGTCAAAGATATGCGAGTTTTAAAATATGTATTGGAAAATTGTGTTCCTGTGCAGCTGTTCCCTAACAGTGGGCACCACTATTTCCCTGTGATTTCTTTAACAATACACATCACTGAGTTTTCCAGTCTTCATTAAATTCAGAGGTGAAACTATATCACACTGTTGTTTTACTCTTCATAGTTAAAAGAATGAAAGACTATAAGTCATTTATATGTATTTTTTCCTGTGAAATGTTAGTGTCTTTCTCCTTTCTTTACATTGGATTACTGTTATTTTTTTGTTGATTTATACATTTTTTCTTTTCTTTTCTTTTTTTTCAAGAGAAAAGGTCTCTATCTGTTGCCCAGGCTGGAGTGCAGTGGCATGATCATAGCTCACTGCAGCCTCAAACTTCTGAGCTCAAGCAATCCTCCTGCCTTAACCTCCAGAGTAGCTGGGACTACAGGTATTTTCCACCACACCCAGCTAATTTTTTTTTTTTTTTTGAGACCGAGTCTTGCTCTGTTGCCAGGCTAGAGTGCAATGGCTTAATCTCAGTTCACTGCAAGCTCTGCCTCCTGGGTTCAAGAGATTCTCCTGCCTCAGCCTCCCGAGTATCTGGGACTACAGGCACATGCCACCACATCCAGCTAATTTTTGTATTTTTAGTAGAGATGGGGTTTCACCATGTTGGCCAGGATGGTCTCGATCTCTTGACCTCGTGATCCTCCTGCCTTGGCCTCCCAAAGTGCTGGGATTACAGGCATGATCCACGGCGCCCAGCCCACACCCAGCTAGCTTTTAATTTTTTTGTGGGGATCTCTCTTTGTTGTCCAGGCTGGTCTTGATCTCCTGGCCTCCAGCGATCCTCCCCCATCAGCCTCCCAAGTCGCTGGGAGATTGCTAAGATCTTTACACACATTGGTCTATTGCCATCCAGGTGCTGATTATTTCCACCTGGTTTGTCTCCACTCGTCTCCCTTGCCAGGGTGCAATGTTTCATGTGGATACAATCAACATTAGCAATATTCTAATGGCTTTTGAATTTTGTGTCTTAGAAAAGCCTTGTCTACTCCAGTATTTCAAAACATTCTCTTGCATTTCCTTTCAGTTCTTTAATTGTTTATTTTTTTTATCTCCAATTTGATCTCTGTGGAGTTGATTTTCATGTAAGGAGTGAGGTAGAGACCCACATATTTTCCCAGATGGCTAGCTAGCCTCAAATCATTTATTGAATGTTTCTTTCTCCTAATGAACTAAAATGTCAACTTAATTATATGTGAATTGCAGAAATCTTTCTGTACCTTGGTTTCCAGATTTGTAAACTGAGAGTAATAAACTAGGATTGCTGTAAAGGTGAATGAGATAATTATAAATATGCAGAATAGTGCTCTGCACATAGTAGGTGCTTGATAAATCT
The DNA here is from genome assembly GCF_000001405.40 of Homo sapiens. NCBI lineage: Eukaryota > Metazoa > Chordata > Mammalia > Primates > Hominidae > Homo > Homo sapiens. The sequence continues at coordinate 78,838,624 of NC_000010.11, read as the reverse complement.
TTACTAAGATTTCCTCCAGAAGTATATGATCTATTTCTGGATCTTATAGTCTAGTCATTTAGTCGGTGTATCGGCCAGGGTTTGAAGTTGCAAACAAGGAAGGCTACTCTGCCAGTTGGAGCAGAAAAGGAATTTTTTAGATTGTTGGGTTGCTCACGGGGTCTCCAGGAGGCCAGAGAATCAGACACAGTGGCTGTGCAGCCAAGAAGCCTGCATTAGCCTCCCTTGGGGATTGCTCTGGGGAGGACACCACTGCTGCTGCCACTGCTGGGCACACGTATGAAGCTGGCCCTGCTGGCTCTGGGCAGTGGCCATCAGGAACTATACCACGGCATGCCCCACCAAGAGCCTGATGTCTCTGCTGCCTCCCTCATCAGACTCAGATCATATGCAGGTCCTGCTTCTCCTGTTGCCCTTTCCTAGATCTGAGGCTCACATGGGGGAGCCTGGCTGGCAGAGCACAGGTCACACACCTGTGTGCTGGCTGGAAGGGTGACTGACAAAACAAGTTCTGGCCTCCGCTCTGACCTCAGCTCTGCTCTGTTCCTACTCCAAACCTAGGAAGTATTCAAAAGACACTAGGTGGCTACAAATATGACAAATGTCCATTATAATCTGTTTATTCACAGGCGTGGCTTTCTTGCTGGTAAAATGATGCTGTTTACTATCCAATACAGTTGGTTTCCTTTTTTTTTTCAGAAATTTCTCAGCTCTTGTTATATATAGGATCAACAAGTTTAGTGTAAAATCCTGTTGGTATTTTTGGATCACACTAATATAGATTAATTTAGAGAGAATTGGAATCTTTACCATATGACTCTTTCAATCCAAGAGCAGGGAATATCTTTCCATTTATTGAAGTTTTATTTTATGTCTTTCAGTGGAGTTTGAAAAAAATGTTCCCTATCGATTAAGCACGTTTTGTGTTAAATATATTTCTAGGCATTTTATCTTTTTAAATTTTTACTGATGATGGGATCTTTGATTTTCTAATTGGTTATTGTTTTATATAGGAAAGCTAGTGATTTTTATATGAATTAATTCTTACTAGATTCTTAATGTTTTAACAGTTTTTAAAAACTGGGGTTTCCTCCTGTGTTTTAGAAGTATACAATCAGATGATTAATAAATGATAATTTTGCATCCTCATTGCAATATTGAAACTTCTCATTTGTTTTCTCATCTTGCATTGGTTAGTAGGTGGGAAACAACATTTAATAATATTTGTTACAATGGGTATTACTGCCGCAATAATGCTGCATAATAATCATCAAAGTTCAGAGTTCAAAGCAATCATTTATCCTCATTTAAGTGTCTGCAGGTCGACTGAGGGTTGACTGATGCAGGTTGGCCTCGGCTGGGCTTGGTTCCAAGCTGCAGGTTGGGTCCAGGTCTGCTCCATGCATTCCTCAGCACCCTCGGACCGTCTTGCAACCTCTAGCCTCTACTTTTCATGGTAAGGATGGAAATGTAAGAGTAGTAAATGGGAACAGAGGATGCTTCTCAAATCTTAGACTCAAAATTGGCACTCTCATTTATACCACTTTCCACCACAATCCACATGGCCAAATTCAACATCAGGGGGATTGGAGGAATACTCTGTCTTTAGGAAGAGAAACTGCAAAATCACATGGCAAATGACACAGATACAGCAGGGTGAAGACTTGCACAATGATGTAAGGGACACCATTGGGCACCCTTTACTTGTCCCTGACTGATGGGAATGATTCTACTGATATGTCATTAGAAATGATCCTGGGTTTTAGCTTGAGTTGTGATATCTCAATCCATAAGATCCTATTTTGTTAAAAGTTCTTAAATCATGAAACAAAGTTGGATTTTTGTCAACTTATCTTTTAGTATATATAGAGAATTGTATGGTTTTCTTATTGATATTTTAATACCATGAGTTATATTGATTCCTTCATTAAAAAACCATCCTTGCATTATTTAAATAAACCCCACATGGTGTTAGCATATACCCTTTTAAAATATATGTTCTGCTTGCTAATATTTTATTTAAAAATTTTGCATTTATGCTGTCTTAAAGATCATACTATAGTCTTTTGTCTCACCCTTTTGGCTTTTGTTTTTACTGTTTTGTTGGATTCTTAGATTTAAGTTCTCTTCTCCCTCTCTACAATATTCAGGAGCAGTTTAAATAGCATTGAGTTATCTGCTTCTTGAAATTCTGATGGATTTTTACCTGTAAAGCTTTCTACAAGTAGTGCTTTAATGGATAGTGGCTTTTTGACAACACTCTCAATTTCTTCTCTGGTAATTGGACTCTTTAGATTTCCTATCTTTTCTAAGGCTAGTTTTCACCATTTATGTTTTTTCTTGAAAATCACCCATTTTGTCCATGTGTTCAAATTTATTTTCAAAGCATTGAGCTCAGTAATCTATTACAATTCTTTTAATTTCCTCTATACGGGGTAATTTCCCCATTCTCATTTCTAGTTATGCATATTTGTGCTTATTTTCTTGATTAGTTTAGCTAGTGGTTTTTCTATTTTCCAAACCCATTCTCTGCTTCTCAGAAACTTGCTCCATGCTTTATCCTCTCTGTGTCCTGTTCTTTTCAAGTGTTTCCCCTTCATCTTTCCTAATAGCTCATAATCATTCTCCAGCTTCTTCTATCTCAAAGGCCTCCAAGTCCAAGTTGCCCCCTCTAGCAGATGACTGATAGCTTTATTTTCCAAGGCTTCCTGGGAGTGCTTTCCTGATGTCCATACCGTAGAGTATTTCCTGAGTGTTTTCCAGAGTAATTTCATAGAATTACTCCTCAATGACAACATCTACTTTTGTCTTCATGACTCCAATTAAACTGCTCTAGTTGAGGTCATCTGTGATCTTCCTCACAGCCAAAGTCATGGGCATTCACATCTAGTTACTTTTCCTGATTTTCTGTGACATTTGCCAATACTGACTATTCTCTCCTTCTTGAAATTCACTCTGCCTTGTTTCCGTAACACCCGCTCTCCTGTGATACTTCCTATTTCTCTGTTTCTTCCCACTTCCTTTAAAAAAACACATCTCTTCTTCTGCTTACTCAGTACACGTCTGATTCTATAGCAGGACCTCACCTACACATGCGTGTCTTAAGTGGCAGCTCATATGCTGATGACTCCCCAAACTCTATCTGCAGCTCAGACCAGAGCTCCATTCTCACTCTCTTGACCTGTCCTTTTGGGCACCCTAGTTCTGGACTTCATTATTACCCCCTTGAAATTGGAAATAATCTCCCCTCTCCCCATGGTCTTCTTTCTCTAAGAGAGCCGCTTCCATAATATCCTTTCCTGGGAATGTTCTGAACCACAGGCCTGCCATTTCACTCCTCTACCTAAAACATTCAATGGCTTCCTTTTGCTTTTAAGAGCAAGGTCGACCACTTTGGCTTTCTCCATGACCTCCAGGCTCTCCAAGCATCACCTCCTGGCCTGCCTGCAAGCACCTTTGCTCTAGTCATCAAGTCACTTGAGGTTCTCTGATCATCTTATGATGCTCCATGTCTCTGGGGATTTTCTGCGTGGTTTCTACTTCTTGGAATTGCTTTTCCACATTTTTTTCCTGCTTTTTGAAAAATTAGCTTAAGATTTACCTGCTTTGAAAAGTTGTCCCTGACTCCTCCCCTGGTCTGATTTTGATGTCTATCTTGGGAGAGCCTCCTACTCCCAAACCCAGTTCTCCATCCTCTGCTATATTCTAAAACCATTTCCCTTTTGTCTTCCAGAAGGAAGTCATCTCTGGAGATAAAGAGAGTGAGCCCAAGCCACAGAAAGAAAAGGAGAATGAAGACTGGGTGCTGTGGCTCACCCCTGTAATCCCAGCACTTTGGGAGGCCCAGGCAGGTGGATCACAAGGTCAGGAGATCGAGACCATCCTGGCCAACATGGTGAAACCCCATCTCTACTAAAAATACAAAAATTAGCCAGGCATGGTGGTGCACGCCTGTAGTCTCAGCTACTCGTGAAGCTGAGGCAGGAGAATCTCTTGAACCCAGCAGGCAGTGGTTGCAGTGAGCTGAGATCACGCCATTGCACTCCAGCCTGGGCAACAGAGTGAGACTCTGTCTCAACAAACAAACAAACAAACAAACAAACAAACAAACAAACACCAAAACAAAAGGAGAATGAGCAAGCGCCTTGGAGTTGTACAGACCAGAGATGGCATAGCAGTGTGACACTGGTCTCTCTGAGACTGTTTCCTTATTTTTGAGGTGGGGGAAAATGAATAATCCTTGCACGTTGTTGCTAGGGTTAAATGAGATAATGTATGTGAAGGTGTCTTCCACATGGAAGTTAAGTTTTTAAAATGCACTTATTTCTTTTTCCTTTCCTCAGTGATTTTCCCTACTGGGCCACAGATGATTTATTAAAAGGTTGCCTGGACCAGAGTCCTTAAGGGAATTAAGAAGTTGGGGAGTAATGACCACATCAAGTGTTGGTGAGGATGTGGAGGAACTGGAACTCTTACACACAGCTGGTAGGGATGTACAATGAAACGACCACTTTGGAAAACAGTCTGACAGTTAAAAAAAAAATTTAACATACATCTATCATATAAGCCAGCCAATCTACTTGTAGATATTTACTCAAGAAGAAAGAAACATGGCTACACAAAGACTTGTACATAATATTCATAGCAGCTTTATTTGTAATAGCCAAAAAACGCAAAGGTCCATTAATAGGGAAATGGATAAACAAGTCATGGTATACCCATACCATAAAATATAACTCTGCAATAAAAAGGAATGAATGATTGATATATACAAAGACATGGGTGAATCTCCAAAAATTATGCTAAGCAAAAAGAAGGCACACAAAAAAGCACATGCTGTGTGATTCCATTGATATGAAACTGTAGAAAATGTGAACTGATCTACAGTGATATAAAGCACATCATTGGTTTCCTGGGGACCGGGTCAAGGGGCAGGAGGGAGGAATGAAAACAGGGAATGAAGAATCTTTGGGGTGATGAATGTGTTTGTTAACTTGATGGCAGCAATGGTTTCATGGCTTAAACTTACATCAAAGTTTATCATATTTTACATTTAAAATATGACATATAGTTTATTGGAGCCAATTAAACTTCAATAAAGCAGTTAAAGAAGAAGAGTTCATGGATAAGACAAATGTAGCTGCTGCTCGTCCAATATTTCTTCCCCGTTTCTTTAGCTCAAGGGAACCCAAATTTTGTTTCGGGTGGCAGTGCAAATGGATCATAACTGGTCTAAGCCACTTATGATCATCCCATTATCCACACTGCCTGTCTCCTTTGCAGCTGGGACTGGCCATATAACCTAAGTTCACAAAGACCTAAGATGACCTAAGTCGGCTGGTGATGATTCTGGGAAAGCTTTGGCTCTCGCAGTATAAAGGGGGCTTAGAGTGGCTGTTGCAAAACTTTCCTCCTCTCCTTCCTGCTTGGAGTTAGAACATGATATCTGGAGCTGCAGCAGCTATCTTTTCACCTTGAGGGCAAGGCTGAGAGAGCTGTAAACATGCTGGCCTTCATTTCATGCAGCCTTTGAGCAGCTACCTTCCTCTGGTTTTGATGTGCAAGAAAAATGCTCCCTATTTGTTTGTTTCTATGCTGCAAATAGTTTTCTCTTATTTGTAGCTGAATACATTCTCACTGTTATAACTGGGTTGGTGTTTCAGTTATTCATTGCTACATAACAAACTGTTCTAAATTTAAAGCATAAAACCACAACTATTTTTAAATTCTCAAGGTCCTTTGGGTCAGGAATTTTGCTAGGGCACAGCAGGAATACCTTGCCTTTTCTCCATGACGTCTGGGGCTTTAGATGGAGATGGCTGCAGCAAATCGATTATAGCCAGGTGTCTGGGGCTGCTATGAGATTTGCCGAGGCTGGGATGTCCGCAGTGGCTTTTTCATTTACATGTTTGGTGCTTGGGCTGGGACAGCTGGAGCTCTGTCTGGCATCACTTTCTCCATGAGGCTTCTTTGCATTGCTAGCTTGGGCTTCCTCACAACATGGCTGTCTCGGGGTAGTTAGACTTCCTATGTGGTGGTTGGCATTCCTCAGAGCAAGTGCACCAAGAGGGGAAGCTCTTTTAAAAGTTCAGCCAAGATCCAGCATAGCTTCACTGCTGCTTAATTCTACTGTACAGAAAAGCCACAGGCCACTGAGATTCACTGGGTGTAGGAATCCCACTTCTCTTTAAGGGAATGGCATGCAGATACAGGGAGGGGAGGAGAGGATGGCAGCTGTCCTGGAGACAAGATGGGAAGCAGCTGCGAAGCACACAGGTGTGTGAGGTCTGCTTCTGGCTGTGACTCCTCCTGTAACCTGGTGTGCACACTGCCCACTTGCAGTTTCCAGGGCAATGTCCAGACTCCTGATCTCAACACAACTTTCCATCTGGCCCTTGCCTTTGGCCTTGTGGAACTCCTTGAATATTTCTTACTGCCCTCATGTGCCCTTTAGCCTCCAGGCCTTTGAACCTGCTGCTTCTGATGCCTGAAGTGCCTCCCAATCCCTTCCCTTTGTGATCTCCTACTCATTCTTCAGACCTCAGCCCTGCTCTTCCCTCTTCTGGCAGATTCCCTGATAGGCCTGGTGCAGGTTGGGACTCCCTGACTCTGAGTTCACACATCAGCCTGACCAACCTCTACCAAACCCTCAGTGCGTGTCTTCTGGGTGGTCTGTCTGACCCCTAGAATATGAGGACTTTGAGAACTGAGACCTGTAGCCTCCATCTTTGTACCCCTGTTCCCAGCACAGTGCCTGGCGAAGAGTAGGCAGGCAGGCAGGCACTGTTTGTGGAAGAAAGGCAGGAAGGCTGTAGATCTATACAGACTATGGCAAGGGATTCTCCCGGGGGTTCCCTGTTGGCATCCTCTCTGCTCCCAGCCCTCCTGGGAATAGCTGAACTCCAGGGCTGTCACTCTCATACCAGAGCCATGCGGAAATACTCAGTGGCTGTAGAATAGCATGTGTTCAGCCCTGGCGGGGCTCAGAGCTGTCAGCAGCCCTCCTCACACGCTACCCCAGGGCCCAGGCTGCATTTGTCAGATCAGCTCGTATGCCTGGCTGATAGGTGGGGAGCCCTGCCTGGCACTGCAGCGAGTGTTCCTGATGGATCTCTGGGGCTCCCGTGCTTCCTGGCTTCCCGTGGAATCCAACACATTTTAAAAACACCTGTTTGGCACCTGTTTGGTGCCCAGTTCGCTGCTGGGCAGTGAGGAGACAACAGAAAACCAGATAGGTAGCAGAGCAAAGGCATGGAGGTGAGAATGAGAGGGGCCGGAGGACAGGGAGCAGGCTGCAGAATGGGGAGCTGAGGTTGCAGAAAGTGGTCAGGACATGGCCAGCCCCCAGGATCTTCTGCTCCAGCTGGTTTTCAGTTCACATTCCCTGCACGGCCATCGTGGCTGTTCCCAGCAACTGTTCTGATGGGGGATGCCCAGGCCTTACAGAATGCTGCATGTGGTGAGCGCCGCTCCTTCCTTTTCAACCACAGGAGGAAGTCTGGTCTTTATCCTAAGAGCAATGGAGAGACACTGAAGAGTTCTTTGTAGGGAGCAACATTACCAGATTTGGGTTTAGAAAGGTCGCTCAGGCTGCAGATGGAGAATAGGTTGGAGGAGACACGAAGGAGGCAGGAAGACTGTGGGAGGCTGTTCCAGGTTCCTTGAGGACAGACTGTGGTGGCTTGCAGCACATGGGGGCTGCAGGGATGGGGAGACATGGAGGGATTCTAAGGGTGTCTGAAATGTGGACTTCCCAGGGCCTGTTTCTGGGAGGTTGGGAGTGAAGAGGGAGAAGGAGGCATCAAGGATGATGCAGGATAGGGTGGGGGCTGGGAGTGCCGAGTCACGTGGAGTAAAGGAATGCCACGGTGAAAATGGTAAGGTCAGTTTGGCCTCCTCCACTCATGCTTGCCTGCCTTGCTTTCTATGAAATCTGCAGTTAATGAATGTGTACTTATTTTCCTGGATACTGGGGGAGGTAAAGGAAGATCCTTTCCCATATCTGTGCTGTGAGTGACCCATCATCTACCCTGTAGCTCCATGAAGGTCAGTGCCATTTGTGAGCACAGAACCTACATTTTCTTTGTATGGTGATTCAGCATGCACACATGAGTCATTTTGGGACGTGGACTTAGGTAGCATGCTTGCTCTGTGTTAGGAAGCTTTCCTGGGGTATCACTCTCTGTAATATGTACATATGTAGGTATACAGATGGATGCATATGTGTATATGTATATATGTGTGCGTGCATGTGCATGTATTTTATATATATATGTATATGTATATATGAAGAGGCAGAGAGAGAGAGCGTGCATGCACACTGGGCAAGGGAAGGAGGCTTCACAGAGGTCTTGAAGCATGAGTAGGAGTTTGCCAAGGAGATGAGGGATGAAGAACATTCTAGGCAGATGGAAAAGGAAAAGCAAAGGCATGGAACGGAGACTAGAGAGCTTAGAGAGGGCAGAAGGGGAATGGCTGGAGGGGAGTGGGAAGAGAGGCTGTGGTCAGGTTGCAAAAAGCCTGGAATGCCACTCTCCAGAGGCTGAGTTCCACCTTGTAGTATACAGGAGGACTTCTGAGTTTATTTCCCAAGTCATCTTCATTTCACTGATAGTGTGTTAATTTCACAGCGTGTGTTAAGAAGGATTCTGAGGTGGGAGCATCCCCTCTGACTGCAGGGTGGAGACCGGTCACTAGAGATTTGCCACATCTGCTGTAGGACAGGGAGAGCCACTGGAGGAATGGACAGGGTTGGGGTGAAGGAGCAGGGGCTCGGGATGTGTGTTGTAGAGGATCCACTGGAAGCTCTGGGAGCATGAGTCGTAGGGAGGCAAGGCTGAGGCCACGCTGCCAATGAGCCAGCACTCAGTTTAAAAATATCTGAGGAACGAATGAACTGCTGAGTGTCTGCACGGCAAAAAGTAGACTTTATTGTAGCTGCTTCTGTAATGAGGACGTGCAGGAGGAATAAAGAATTTCCATGGTAAACACTGTCAGCCTTCCTCTCCCCTTTAGCAAAAATACCAGAGTGAAAAAAAAAATACAGAAAACATGCACGCGTGCACACACACACACACACACACACACACACAAAGCAATGACCCCACCGAGGGGCACTTTCCTTCTTCCCTTCTCTATTCCCTGTGAAGTCAGAGCATAATTACTGAAAAGCATTTTTGACTGAATTTTAGATGAGCATTTTGACAAAATATAATATTGGAAACAATCTTTATCAAACATTCATGTGTAGTGTGAGAGATAAAGCCCGGAATCCATAATTCATACGGCGTGTGTATTACCAAGTGTGCATGAGAGGCTGAATTTCAATGAGGCTGCCTGAACAATATTTTCTGCCAGACGTGGGCTTTCATCATTTACATTATTCACTAGGTTTTCCAGAACAGTAAATCTTAAATATATATTTGTGTTGGGAAGAGCTTGTGTGCATGTCTGTATACACACAGAGGGACGCACACCCGTTTGGGCACAGAATTGGCGGATACATGTTCCAGCTGGAGGGGCAGGCAGTGACAGCAGGGAGCCTCAGCGTGGCGGATGCCCAGGGCTCCTTCTGGAGGACGGCCCACGTCACCACGGACTCCACAGCTCACTGCACAGGCATTAAATCCGCCCACCCTGTGGTCTCCATCTTCAGACCCACCCAGCACCTCAAGTGGAGTCCTAAAATAAAATAGGACCGAGTGCGGGCATTGCTCCGGATGCTGAAGAGCAGAGCTCCTCCAAGTTCACCCTCTGCACCGTTCAGGCGGTCATTGTACCGAGTCTCCAAGGGCTAACGTTGGAAGGGACGCTTATAAAGATTGTTGAATTTTGTCTCATTGTGATATGAGTTGGACAGCTCGTGGAATAGCCTCTGCTTGTATACAGTAGAGACAGGAGCACAGGGCCTCCGGCATTTTCCCCACTCCATCTCTGGAGGGTCACACTGCTCAGAGGTCTTCCTTGGAGGTGAGATTGAGCTTCTTCTCATGATCACTCACTGTTGCTGTGCCGGTCCGTGAGGTCCCGCAGCACAAGTCTGCTTCCTGGAGCACAGGCCCATCCTTCAGATCTCCGAGTGTGGCATCGCATTGTGGGATCATCCTTTTCCAGGCCTTTGTTCCTTCAGCCTTTCCTCACATCGCTTTTGTAGTGGATGCTGGGGTGCACTGCCCAGATACCCTCTGGGGACCGAGGAGCTCATTCTGCTGCCCAGAGTGTGGGCCGCTGCTGGCTTGAGGCTGAGTCCCTCCTCAGGAGTTCCCCTGAGCAGGGGGCACTGGCTCCCCCAAGGTCTTGCCCCTCCCCACATGTAGGGGAGGAGGACACAGCCCAATTGAATGACTGGTAGACACATTCTCTGAAAAGTCATTCCCAGCTCTAGAGCCCCTGGGGCTTGGCTGAGGCCTGTGCTGCGGCTGCACTGCAGTTCAGCCTCTCTCTGCCTGGCCTGGAGTCTGTTACTCCCCACAGGTATTGATCCCCAGACATCCCAATACACTTCCTGCGTGTAAGTCCTCATGGCAGTCCCAGGAAACCAAGCCAAAGAGGGCCAGAACGAGGAGTGGCCTGAGGAAATGGAATCTAGCTAGGATTGTGGAGCTGGATCACCTGTTGCCCAGTGGGCACTGAAGACCTCATCACAGGCTGGAGGTGGAGGGCTAAGAGCTCCTGGCCCATAGTTTCAACTGTGGGTGCAATGGCTGGCTTTTTCTCTGTTGGAAAAACTGGGATGGAAGAGAATGCAGGGAAGGCTGCATATTTCAGGAGCTGGAGAGGACTGGGGAAATTAGTAATTATAAGGACAATGAAATTGCATGGCTCTTACTGAATGCAATCAATGGATCGGAAAAAAAAACAATAAAAGGCTGTAGGTGATTAATTACCACTTTAAGGCAAAATGTGCAAGTTGTGGGCTTCCTCCGCGACATAAAGAGACGCACTTGTCCAGCAGTGGAGAGATGAGAAAGCTGCTTTTCAGGACCCAGACTTAATTCTAAGGGTGAAGCTTCAGAGAAGCGCAGCATCTTCTCTGAAGCTTCAGAGAAGACTGAATTCTCACCCTGGGTAAGTCAGCTATGCCACAGTCACAGCCTTGCTTGGGAAGGAGTCGACTATGAGACTTGGGGTCAATGAACTTGAACACTTTGAAGCTCCAGGGCCCTGGAATCCTCTGGGCCTGCCGAAATGATTGTTTTCCAGCTGTGAAAGGCTAACGCACTGCCCGGGCTTGAAGTTAAGGTAGAGGCCTCTGTCTTACAAGACAATGTGCTACCGATGCAACATCTACTCCAGCTTCCCTCCCAGACACTGGACCAAGCCACTGCACAAACCAGGAGGGTAAGTGCCGAGCCTTCAGAGGGAGGAAAGGAAGTTTGTGCAGGACACACCACCAACCAGGCAGGTCCATGAGTGGATGCAGGGCACACTGAGGGGCTGAATAAGGAGCAGTGGAATAAAAAAGCAAATGAGCGAGAGTTTATCAACATAGGGCTTCTCCCTTAACAGAGGATTTCACACCCTGCATGGACCCTGAGATGTGTGCTGCCTGGTGGCTCCTGGAAGCTTGGCAGGAGATATGGCCCAAGCTATGTGAAGGAGAAATGCCAGAATTACCATGGCAAATGTCAGGAGGAGGAATCAAAACCTCTGAGGAGTGGGCATGCTGGAGAGGATATTCCATGGAAGCTAGAAAACCTACCAAATGACTGTGGCCCACAGAAGGGCCCCGATAGCTGCCATTCACCAAAGCACTGAGAGATGGTACCAGCATCAGGGAGGGGTTCAGTGGTGGGTGGCCTCTGTAGGTCAGGCATGGCCTCAGGAGACATCATTATAGAACTGGGCTCTCTGATAGCAATCAGGATGCTAGGAGGGAACAGAGGCCTGGGGTGGTGCGTGGCTGTCAGAAGCAAGGTGGGCACAGAGATTGCGATGAGCAGTAAGGTCAGAGTGGCAGCAGGGGGGCCTGACCTGCAGACTAATGTGCATGGCTAGTAGAATGTTATGTTCTTAGTGTAGAGTGACCACTTGTGTCAATTTATCCAGGGTGTGGGACTTTCAGTGCTAAAACCAAGAAAGTCCTGAGCAAACTGGGCTGAGCTGGTCACCCTGTTCTTGGGAATGCTAACAAGGATATTGTTTGAGCTACAAAATAAAAAAAATCAAAGATGGATAATCAGGAGACTAAAAGTAGTCTTCAGCTTAAAAAAAAAAAAAAAGAAGAGTGAAAACATGACCCTTCGCCCAGTGTCTGGATCTGAGCCAGTCTGCTGACTGCAGGAGAGGGAGGTCCTCATGAGGAAGGACCCCACCTCACCATGGCAACTGTGTCCAGTGATGACTGCCCATCCTTTTAGGACTTGTATACTGAGAAATGGTAAATACCAGCGTTGACCTTGATAAACAGGGACTGGGGTCATCCTGGCCACTGTTAGAGAGGATGCAGATGAGGTCAGGTCATTAATGCAGTCCTAGCACAGATCTGATTCCTGTGGACCCACAGCATCCACAGAGCCACCCCAGGGACATTTTCCCAGTTCCTGAATGTATAACTGTAATGAACATACCTGTATTTGGCAAACCTTCTGCTTTGGTGCCTTGGACTGTGAGATATAAGGTATCCCAGTGGGAAGGGCCAAGTAGAAGCTGCCAAAACCCCTTCACTTCCATCCACAGCAAAGAAGGAATGTGAAAAACAATATTGCATTTCAGGTAAGAAATGGCAGAGATTAATGCCACCTTGAAAGTCCTAAAGAACGCAGCGGTAGTGGACCTCATTCTTTCACCTTTTAATTCACCAACAGAAGCCTACAAAAATGAGATGCACCATGGAGGATGAGAGTAGGGTACCACAATTTGACTAAGTAGTGGCCTCAGTTGCAGTGCTGTGATTTTGCTAGAGAGATGAACACAGCTTCAAGAAGACGGTGTCTGATCATTGATCTCTATTATGAAGGAGCACCAGAGCAGGTCACATTCTCATGGGGATGAAAAATTGCATACATGTAAGGTCTTTCACCAGGCTTAGGTAACACTCTTGTCTTCTGTCATAATCTAGTCCAAGAGGTCTAGAACTATCTAGACAATTGGTAGGATATGGCATTGGTCTGTGGAATTGATGAGATCCTGTCAATAAAACTGAGTAAACAAAAAGTGGCAAGTGTGTCCAAGACAATGGGGCAAGCATCTGATGAGGTCTTTCTTTCTGCATCATCCAATGACAGGAAGTGGAAAGGCAAGAGCAAGAGAGCACAAGAGGGAACCAAACTCATCCCTTTATAAGAAACCCATTACCATGATAATGGCAATAATCTAATAACAGCATCAATCCATTCATGAGGGCAAAGGCCTCCTGGCTTAATTATCTCTCAACTGGCCCCACCTCCCAATGCTGTTGCATTGGGGATTAAGTTTCTAGCACATGCCTTTTGGGGGACACATTCAAACCATAGTAGGGCCTCTTTGGTTTCTGGAAGCAGTATACTCCACACTTGGGAAAACTGCTTCAACCCATTTATCAAGTGACATGACAGGCTTCCAGCTCTGCAGGAAAGAGAACTGTAAGCTACACAACTTGATAGACTTCATGGTATTGTAGGTATCTGTAGTAGAAGAAGAAGTGACGTGGAGTTTACAGTAAGCTCTAAAAGGAAAATTACTGCATAGAGTCCTAGGATTCTGGAATAAGGCCATGCCACCTGCAACAGAGAATTATACAGTATTCAAAAATAACCCTTAGCATGCTACTGGGCCCTGGTAGAGATGGAGCCCCTGACCATAAGACATCAAGTGACCATAAGACATCAAGTGACCATAAAGCAAATTGTCCAGCATGAGCTGGATTCATATGGAGCCAAAAAGTCATAGGATTGGGTGACACCAGCAGTAACATGGCAGTGGCATATCTGGGATCAGGCATGAACAGAGCCAGATGATACCAGTAATCTGCCCAAGAAGGAGGCCCAAACTCCCCTATAGTCCGCCACAGTCAATCAGCTCCCATCTGTGCCTGCAAGGGTGGAGTTCCTTAAGACTAGCTGAGAGGGGTAGAAAAAAGCCAAGCTCTGTTTATGGATGTGTTGACTTGGTATCTAGGTATGAGCTGGAAATAAACAGCTGATACATGACAGTCCCATTCAAGGGTGACCCTGAAAACCAGCAGAGGGGAGAAATCCTCTCAGTGGGAAGAGCCCTGGGCAATGTACCTGGTCTATCTGGTCATCAACTTTGTGTACAAAGAGCAGTGGTTCGAGGTAGAACATATATGGACTCATGGGAAGCAGTGAATGACTGAGCCATTGGTCACAGTTCTAGAAGGAGAAAGATCAGGAGAAGAGATAAAAAGGCCCAGGAAAGACCCACAAGGATGAGACAATGGGACTTGTTATGGAGTGTGAAGACCTTTCAATGACATGTTGACACCCATTAGAGAGTATCTGCCATAGAAGAGGCACCAGGTGGGCAGAATGATTCAAATCGTTGGTGTCAGCCAGCCTCTGTCCTTGGCAATCCTCATGCTGGCAGAAATGGACCCATGAACAAAGAAGTCATGGGAGCAAGGATAGAGGTTACACATGGTATTCACAGCCTGGGGTTCCTACTCGTTAAAGCCAATGTAGCTACTGCCATTGTCCAATGTCTTCCAGTAACAGAGACCAAGGCTGAGATGCTAATATGGCACCATTCTTCAAAGAGATTAACTGGCCACTTGGTGGCAAGTTGATTACATTGAACCCCTTTCATTCTGACAGGGAAATTGACTCATTTTGATTGGAATGGACATACATTCTGGCTACGGGTTTACCTCTCTTGTCTGCAGGGTTTCAGCCTGCACCCTCATCTAATAGCTTATAGAATATTTGATCCAGCAATCTAGGATCCTATATAAATAACATTGCATCAGACCAAGAGAACCACTTCACAGTTATATAAGACTATAGGAACCTTTGAGATTACCACAAACTATACCACCAGACCCTGCTGACTTGACAGAGTGATGAAGTAGCCTTTGAAAGTGCAGCTGAGGCATCAGTTTGGAGATGATGTCTGTGAGCATAGGATATCATTGCCCAGGATGCAGTATGCACCCTAAATCAGTGAGCACTAAATGATCCCCAGTCAGTAAAATGCATGAGTGTGGGGAAAAAGGGGTAGAAGTAGGAATGTCTCTGTTTACCATCACTCCCAAGGACCCATTTGGGGAATCTGTGCTTTCTGTCTCCACAAAACTAGGGTCTGTGGGTCTTGAAGTCCTGGTTTCCAGAGGGTGCATGCTTCCATCAGGGGACACTGGAAAAGCCCATTAAACTTTAAGCTACGGTATTACACAGTGTCTTTGGGCTGCTTACATTGAGGGACCAGCAGGCAAGGAAAAAGTGTCACTATTCTGGCAGAGTTAAGGGACCCTTGTTGTCAGGAGGAAGTTGGGCTGTCGTTACGCCATGAAAGAACAGGGAAGAATGTATTTGGCACCAAGGTGATACACTAGGAAGTGTTTTGTTCTTTCCTGCCCAGTTTTGAACAGGAATAAACTGTGTAATTTGAGAAGCACAGACATCTGTGAAGTAAGTACCCGGGATCCAGAGAGGCCTGAAGGATGGGATGGCAGCCAGGGATTCAGACCCTCTAGGAATAAGGTCTGGGCATGATATTGGATGAGCACAGAGACCACCATAGGTGCTAGGTGCTACTGAAAGGAACCTAGAGAAGTGGAGGAGGGGAACTGAGAGTGCTACATGCAGCAGTGGTGGCTGTCATCTGTCCCACTAACCTTCCTCCTATAAGTCTCCCCAGGAAAAGAGACAACTGGAATCCAGGAGTCAGAATATGCTGTTCCCAGAACTTAGATGAAACAAGCAGATTTGGGTGGTGCAAGGGGTGGACTGTAGTAGATGCTGAGATGCACTGCCCAGGCTGTCCTTCAGGGTTAAGCACTCATTCCCAGAGCTTCCAAGAGTGCTGCTTGCTCATGGCTCTAAGCCAAGTCTCCCCCTAGGAATTGCACTTGGCCAAAAGGAGCTACTGTGTCCAAGCTCTGTTTGTCTTCTGCCTGGGAGCAAGCCTCCTCCATGGCTGGGTGATATGAGGCACAAAGCTCCATCTGCTTCACCTCAATTCAGAGCAATTTTGAAGGGGAGTTCCAGCTCTCCATAAGTTTAATAAGGCTTTCATTGCAACAGCAACACAGTTCTATTTCTCCCTCTGCTCAAATTTGCTTCCTTTACTCTCACAGGTGTTGTTCCCAGGAGCACTTCCTAATAAAATTGCAATACAGCAATCTCCATCTCAGAGTTTGTTTCCTGGTGAGCCCATTCAATAATAGCATGGTTTTGAGATCCTTTGCATCTGTTTTCTGCTCATGTTCTAGAAGAGTAATATCTGTCTTGACAAATGGTCAAGACAAATAGAAATAGAGCAATAATTTTTCAGGGTAAAATAGAGGACTCTCACCTCCCTTATGTAGGCACTATACTTTTATTAATGTGGCCTAAGTCAGCAATAACTCTTTTGAAGCCACGCCATATAGTTAACTTTTCTAAACTCATTCTTTTTTTTTTTTTTTTTTTTTGAGACAGGGCCTTGCATCATCACTTAGACTGAAGTGCAGTGGTGTGATCATACCTCACTACAACCTTGAACTCAAGCAATATTCTTGCCCCAGCTTCCCAGCTAACTAGGACTACAGGAGCACACCACCATGCTTAGTTAATTTTTAAATTTTTTGTGGAGACAGGGTCTCACTATGTTGCTCAAGCTCGTCTTGAACTCCTGGCCTCAAGTGATCTTCCCACCTCAGCCTCCTAAAGTGGTGGGATTACAAATCTGGCCTAAAGTCACTCTTGATTCAAAACTCCATGTCTTTTCTAAGCCTTGCTGCTGTTAAACCATGTGTCCCTTACCAAGAATGTGCCGTCAGCTTTTGGGGGATCAAACACAGGACTTTTGCTACCACTTATCATTCCTAACTGCTGAAAGCTTTTTGGATCAGACTTTCATTTAATTTATTTATCTTTCCTTTCAAATTTATAT
The DNA here is from genome assembly GCF_000001405.40 of Homo sapiens. NCBI lineage: Eukaryota > Metazoa > Chordata > Mammalia > Primates > Hominidae > Homo > Homo sapiens. The sequence goes on along the minus strand of NC_000010.11, from coordinate 78,821,593 downwards.
CATTTTCAAATTTGATAAGGCCACCTTCCATGTTCTTAATTCAGGCTGTTAATGAAAATTCACATCAAATTGCTCCAGGCCTTCCCAGTGGTTGGCTGTCTCCTTTCTAGAGTGGGAAAGAGAGCTCTGTGATGTCTAGAGGCATACGTCTATTCTCTCTTCTGCTGTGGGTCTCTTTAGGAGCTTATTGTCATCATTGCCAACACCTATTGGCCCCTGTCTCTGTGCTGCCATCCTAAGCACTCTAGCTCACTCTCTGGCTTCATCCTCACCACAGCCCTGGGTGGGAGGCACTAGCTCTACTGAAGTGCTCTAGAGCAATTAAATGACCAGCCTGAGGTCACACAGCTGTTAAGTGGCAGAGCCTGGATTCATACCTGGTTTGGCTGACCACAGAGCAAGCTGATGACTTGTGTTATCTACTATGATGCCTCTTCCAGGAAGTGACTTTCAAGGCTGGCTCCTTCCCGTTGCAGCGTGTGAAGAAGTCTGTGGAGGGATAGGTCACTTGGCTCAGGTCAGGAGACCCGAGAGAGATGCTGAGCTCTGGAGAGACAAAGACCTGTGGTCCCTGAGCTCTTTGGAGAGAAGAAAACCTCTCAAAGACAAGACAGTAGAGGGAGGGGTTAAGCTCACTTGGTCTTACTTTCTTTAGATAATAGTAGCACTTACTGAAGGTGTATTATGTGCCAGGCACTGGCAAAGCCATCTACATGTACTGCCTCAATTGTTTCTCCAATACTGGTAGGAAGTATCTGTGGCACAGAGAGGTTAAATAATTTGTCCTTAGTCACAAAGATAGTTGAGGAATGAACCAGTGTCTTCTCAAGAGAATACTGGCCTCTTTGTCTCAGTTTACAGATGAGCCAACTGAAGGCTAGAAGAGGGACAATGACATTGCAAGTCACATTGTAAACCAGTCGCAGAGTCTTCATAAAACTCTACCTTCTGCAGATTGTGTTGTCACTTCCCACCATTGTTCTGTTAGATATGGGCTCCACAAGGGCAGGAGTTATTGACTACTTTGTCTATGAATTTACGTGGTGTCCCCAACTGCAGTAACACTGCCTGTCACAGAGTGGGTGATTAATACATTATTTATTCACAAAAGTGTGTTTGTGATCTCTATACTATTGGCCAAGTGCCCCACAGCCATGTGACAACACATAACTGGTTATACCCATGTGCATATGCAGTGGGTCAGCTCTGTCACATACTTTGCCCAAGTTTTCCCTACCAGGCAGCTGATACTTGTGAATTCTCTGGGCGCATTTGCAGGATGTTCTTCTTCCCTGGAACCACCCAGTTTCAGCCATTCTTTGCTGAAACCCCAGCCTGAGCCTTGCTCAGGTAGGAATGTGAGGGGGAGACCTCCACTGTTCTCTGGGCAGGTCTTGCTTGCTATCTTGTCTGTTATGCCACCCCCACACAGCACCCAGTCCAGGGCTAGGCATCCAACAGCCGGCTGCTAAGAGATCTTGCAGTTTCCTGCCAGGAACAGCTGGGATTTTTGCTGGGCAGGTTGTGTTGTTGCTGAGATTTCTCTCTTTTTTTTTTTTTTCCACAGAGAAATAGGAACACACAATGCTCCTAACACAACACTAAGAATCTGTCTCAACAAGCCCCTCCATGAGTTTACAGTAAATATTGCAAAAAACCCACCAAGTTTTTAATTATGCATGGCCTTCCGGCCTGCAGGGAGTGACCGGAGGGAGCTGGCTCCTCTGGAGACTTCCCTGAGAGCAGTGAAGAGGACGGGACACTTGTAGGCCCTCAAAGAGCCTGGAATCTAAGCCATTTCTCGATTCAGGACAGACAGAGAGTACTTAGAATAACAAAATATTTATTTTGAGTTATTACTCAATAATAAAAATTAACTGGGTGGAAGATATTTTGAATTGTCAAATTGCAGTTTCCTTTGCTCTGCCTCTTGGTGCAGATGGTGGCCTTGCTCTTCAACCACGTGGTCATCTAAGAGATGGTCAGTCATGGACTTTGTGACACAATGGCAGCATGGTCCTCCCTACAGCATCCTGACAGCCCTATGCTGGGAGGTGTGCTCACCAGCCCTGGCCTTTCTACTCGATGAAGGGCCCAGTGACTTCAAGTGGATCACAAACATCCTGCTATGATAGAAATCAGCCACCTCAGCAAGAAGGCCTTCTGTTTCCACCTGTCATGTTCCTTCATTTCGCATCTTCTGCAGAGGGTCCTGTCTGCTCATAGTCCAGTTACAATAGTCCTGGTGGTCTTGCAAATGACTCATCATGCTAAACTCTTAATAATTTATTTATATTTGGCTTGTGGAATATTTGAGCTGTGAGGCCACTTGGAGGCTATGTAGTATTTTATCTCTTTCTATAGAGATATAGAGAGGTTCAGGGCCTTGTCCAAGGTCACACAGCGAGTAAGTGGCAGAGCTGGGATGCAAGGCCAGGTTGGCAGGCCCCAGCCTTTGTTGTCCTTCACTGGGTTGTGCTGCCTTTACAATAGAAGCCCAGGGAAAGAACTTGCCCAATTCATCCGGCAGATGGAAACCAAATTAGAACCCTGTATTACTTTGCTAGGGCTGCCATAACAAAGTACCACAAACCATTGGCTTAAACAATGGGAATTTATTGGCTCACAGTTTTGGCGGCCAGAAGTGCAAAATCAAGGTGTGGCGGGGTTAGTTCCATCTGAGGGCTGTGAGGAAGAATCTGTTTCAGGCCTCTCCCCTAACGTTTGATGATTGGCTGGCAGTCTTTGGCTTTCCTTGGCTTATAGATGCATCACTCCAATCTCCGCCTTCATCTTCATATGGTGCACTCCTTTTTGTCCATGTCTGTGTTAAAATTTCCCCCTTTAATAACAGTAACAGTCATACTGGATCAGGGACCAGTGACCCTAAGGGTGACCTCATTGTAATTAGTTACATATGCAATGGGCCTCTTTCCAAATAAGGTCACATTCTCAGGTGCTGTGGGTTAGAACATCAACATATGAATTTGGGGGGCACACTGTTCAACCCATCACAAACCCTGATTATCCTCTAACATGGTATCCAGAGCAACTTTTAATCAAACAAATCACAATCAAATGGAATAAAATATGGGTTTCTTAGCAGCCTGGAAGAAACTATTAGGGCTTTAAATAAATTGAATAATGCAACACCATAACTCTGAAATCCCTCCACTCAAATTGGCTGTGCCTGGGCCCGCTGTCACCGGCATGGCCAACTGTCTGTGATGGTCCAAAAGGGATGGATTGCAAGAGTCTAGAGAGAGGGAGAGGAAGGGTTTAGACCCAAGGCCTCCTGTCTGACATGTTTGAGGGTTTATTTGCTTGTCCAGCATGAGAAGGGGTCAGCTTTGCGAGAGCAGAACTAAAAATATTTGGTGGATACCAGTAGTGACTACAGAGTGAGCTCAGAGAAGCCCCCACTCAGTGGTGGAGCTGGGCCTGGGACTCGTGATCCTAACCACATGGCAGAACTGATGCCCACTTTAAGCATTTCCAAATTGTTTCTGCACCTGAACTGCTAGTCCTTTGAAGGCAGAGGTCTGCTGCCCCACTGCCTGCCTTACAATGCATTCTGATTGGAAGCCACTGGGCACTGAGGTTGTTATTGTAATGCGTAGAGCTTCAGCCTCTTTCCGCAGAACTAAAATCTCAGATAAGCCCATTCCATATCATTGCTTTGGAAGCACAATGCTTCACTGTGGCCTCTCACCCTCAATCCTCTGCTCCCCCACCTCTCATCCCCCAACCATTTCTCCTTGTGTAATTAAAGGGAAAATGTTCTGCATTCATTTACCTTATGCTTTATCAAATAACAGAGAGATGAATTAAGAGGTCCATATTTCTATTTCAAGGTTCATGTGCTTTCACAAACTGTGCAAGTTGTGCTCTTAAAACCTGCCGCATCAGCAGGAAGTCTCTGCTCAAAACATAGCCATCTCTCCCCCTTCCTCTTTTCATTCCCCAGTGCAATTTCTAAATAGATGTGACGGTTAGGAATTCTGCATAGACAATTGTGAAATAATACTCACAGTGGCCAGGATTCTCTAGTCTCTCCTTCTCCCTCCCTCCCCTTCTCTCTTTCTCTCCCTCTCTTTCCCTCCCTTCCCTTTCCCTCTCCCCTTCCCTCTCTCCCTCCCATCCCCTTCCCCTGTCTTACTTATTGCTCAAGAAGGAATGCCGGGTTCTTGGCTCAGCTAACTGGACTGCAACAAACACTTATTCAGTACCTACTATGTAAAGATGACTACAGTAGGAACCACTGGGAAAACAAAAATATTAATACCTTAAATCTCTGTGGTTCCTTTTAGTTAACAAAACACCTTTACGTTCATAACCACATTGAATTCTTGCAAGAACCCTCTGACATGCATAATATTATTATTGGCTTTGCCACTCTGCAGTGAGGAAACTGAAGCTGAGATGGATTGAATAACTGGGGACTCTTCACCTCCAGTGGGTCAAGGACTCCCTTCTTAGACCAGTGAAGTTAATGAAGTCTGTCTCAGAATAATGGCTTTTAATGCATAAAACCAAATACATAGGGTCACAGAGGCAACCAGTTATATTGAAATGCAATTTTCAAAATACAAAAAAGTCTATATAGTAATATATGTGCTTCCTTAGTAACACGTTAAATAACAAGAGCCTATTAACTATTGTAATTTTAAAGTAATGACTTGCTATATCAGGAATCAGTGAACTATGATCTGAGTTACTACCTATTTTTGTAAATAAAGTTTTATTGGAACATAGCCATGTCCATTCATTTACATATTGTCTTTGACTGCTTCAGAGCTGCAATAGCCGAGTTAAGTTATTGCAAGAGACTGCATGGATTACGATGCCTACAACACTTACTATCCGGACCTTCATGGAAAAGGTTTGCTGACCTCTGCTGTAGTCAATATTTTGAGATAACTGCAACAACTTTAATGGAATAGGAAAATGACTATGCTTTCTATGGGTGACAAATTTTCAAGTATCACCAATATTGTGGTTTGTTTCCTGCATGTGTGATTGAAGAATGTCATTTTTCCATCTGAGTCAGGGTACAGAAACCAGTATTTGTCCTAAATCCCTTGGTGTCTGGTATGGAGAATCTCCTAGTCAGGAAGAGCATGCACTCACATGTGCACATATACACCCCCACCCTCTCCTAGGAAGCAGTCTCTGCCTAGTGCTATCATAAGGAGAAAGAGTGACATGGAACTCTGGGGGAGATGGTATTGCTCAGCCTTTTAATAGTCTGAAGTCTTTAATAAATCCAGAGCCACCACGTGTGGTTGTATTGGTTGACACCAGGCCAAGAGGATGAACTCTAGCTAGGCTCACTAAGCCTGCTTATGTTGGGGAGTTTGGTGCCTTTCTCTAGTTATTAGAAAGGTGCCCTGTGGGCTGGTAGACAGCCTGGGTACATCTTCCCTTAAGCCACATGGATGGGCCTATGTTTAGGTTTAGACTCAGTGGGGGCTTGTCAATGTGTGGTCAGTTCCTCCAAAAACAAACACTTTACAGGTTCATTGGTAGACTGACTGTTGAATAGATCATAATAAAGAGAGAAGGTCATCATCATATTGAGGAATTTTAAATACTTCATTCTGCAAATTTTTCACTTACTCATCCTTTTATGCACATCGTTCTTTCTCTCTTCCTAACAAACATTGGTTAATTATTTGCTATGTGCAAGCCTCTTGGCTAGGCACTTCACTGATACCTATGAGTCAGAAAAACTTTAGTCCTGGCTCTGTAATTTCCTAGCAATGTGACCTTGGGTAGATTCTACTCTATGCAATGGAAATCATAAATATACCTGCCACCTTCCTCACAGATCTGAGGTGAGTCCAAGGAGATAACACATGGAGAACAGTGATGGGGAAAAGTTGTTTCAGAAATTAAAAGGAAGGAGAAATCTCTGTAGTTAATGTTCTGACTGATTCATAGAGATAGCCTTGAGTACAGCCTCAAAAAATGGGCAGGATTTGAAGAAGCCATTAGTAAGTTGAACCCAGTGAAGACATCAAAATTGTGCCATGAGTGAGGGCTGGGGTGGTTAGGAAGGGGCTATGTAATCTTGCTGTTTCTCTTAGAAGCTATGACAGTGCACTACCTGCTGAGCTTTCAGAGCCAGCCATAGCCATTGCTATGAGATTGTGTTTATTATCATCATCCTCATCAACATTATTATCATTATTAATAATACAATATTTGGAGCATTTATGCACATTAATTTTAAACAAGCATGTGCAGTGGCAAGATTTGATGCCACTACCAATAAAAAGCCATAGCATGGATTTTTAATTTACATAAAATAATTTATGCTAATTTAATGAGTCCTTTGTTTACAACTGAGGCTCTCTCACTGCTGATTTGGGAGATATGCTCAACTGCAGCACACTGCAGAACTTGAAGCCCGACACACACATCCATTTTGCAGGGACACTCCTCCTACAGGGAGGGAAGAGCCACCCAGTCTTTTGTGGCAGAACACATTTAGATTCGGTAAGTTCTTATTTACAACTTACTCCCTTTAAGGGACTGTGCTAGGTGCTGGCCTGCTGTTAACTAATTTGGTTCTGACAATCACTTTGTGAAGAGGATCAGAGAGGCTTCATGTCTGACCCAAGATCAAACAGCTGTCAAGTGGCAAGGCTGTGAACAGTTTCTAATTCTCAGCTACTTTCTATACTCCTATAGCAGCCCTTAAATAAGAGCTAACATGGCTTGGGACATGGTATGTCCAGGATCAACACTGACTGACTGACTGACTGACTGACTGAATGAATGAATGAATGAATAGCACCATTACAGTCAAAAGTGGTTTCAGGTGTGTTAGCTCTCTGACACCTTGCAGCAGCCCTGAGAGGCAGGTCTGGCCACCTCTGTTTTACAGCAGAAGCTATGCAGGTGGGGTAATGGAGAGAGCATTGTGCTGTAAGCTCAGAGTTTGTCCTGTTGATTGTGTCACTGATTTATGGCGTGACCTTGGCCCGACCTTGACCTGGGTCAAAGTGCTCCCCCCAGTTTCTCCATTGCCCCATTTGCAAGACATAAGGAAGAATCCCTTGTCCTTCTAATCTGATGGGCAGGAAAAAAAAAATGAGAGTGTGGAGGGTACTGCGCAGGGTGTCTGGGAATTATAAGGTGGTATTTGTCAGACCTGCCTTGGGAAACCTTGAAAAATTGAATGGAAACCACTGGGCTCATTCATCTCCTTTTAACAGCCCCATGTCATCCAGCCTGGTCTTTTCCATTCCTGCTCTGTCCAATCCTGACAACATAATTTAGTTCCAGAGAACTTGAATAGAACACAGTGGACTGATATTTCCACATGCTCTGGCCTTGATTAATACTGTCAGGGCAGCCGCTGGCGAGGATGAGGAGCCAGGGAGGATAATGCTCTGCCGTGCTCCACCTCCAGTGCTCACCACCTCTCCCCCTACTCAGGCGCCCTCCCTTTCCCATCCCTATAGGCCCCACATGCACCCTCCTTGCTCTGGCCCAGACTCTGAGTTCCTTATCTGGTATGTTTGTTCATCCCATTGACCTGCTCTTCATTCTGCCAACATATTGGATATTCACCACGGCCAGGCAACGGGGATACAGAGTTAAGTAAGGACGTGCCCCTGCCTTTGAAGTAGTCGTTCATAGGATAATGAAAACCCATGGACATGCAGAAAGAAACTGTCCAAGGGATGGAGCAAGTGCTGCAGCAGGGATGGAGGCAGAATGGGGCAGGAGGAAGGAGGGCTTTACAAGGGAGCCAATGTCAAACTGGGAGTCTCAGGATTAGTGAAATCTCTCCAGGGGAGAGAGGAAGGGGAAGGGTGTGTGGCAGTAAGCACTCCAAGGAGCTGGAGATGCCTGGCACTGCGCAGGGATGGCCAGGGGTCTGGGAGGCTCTACATGAGGTAGGGGCAAGACTTGGAGCAGAGCCTGGAAAGGCAGGAGAATGGAGCCAGTTCCCTCTCCAAGGCAGATATTGGCAGGTGTGCCTCAGCTCTGGTTTTAGTGGCATGCCTTTCTTGGAGAGATAAAGAATAAGACATTGAAGGATTGGCAAGTAGAGAGCTGGAAAGCAGATAAGGGAAAATCCCACTCACATCCCTCCTCAGTGAGAGTGGGGGCAAATCTCCAACATCAGCAGGTTATGGGGAGCAGGTAGGTGGGGAGGGGACAGGGGAGGTATTTTCCTTTCTTTTGCATGAATGGGGCAAAAGTGGCCCCATTCTGACAGTCTTCTGAAAACAGTGTATGCTTCTCTTTTTTGTGGCCTGTCTTCAAAATACACACTCACTCAGAGATACCTAAAAACTGCTAAACACACTCAAGCCTCCTCCCAATTTTCCACACAAGAGTGCCTTTAATGGGTCACAGAGGAGGCTGTGATGGCGTCCTGGCTCTGCCTAACAACACCTACATCGATGGCTTCTTTCCATGGATATCAAGATTTATTGTTCCTCAAATCAAATATTGACCTTGGCTTTTTGTCCATCAATATATGACCTTTCAAGTCAATGAACCTAGATATGCTAGTCAATGTTTATTATTGTTTCCCCTGGCCTGAACTGGGAATTTCAGACCCCAGTGCATGGGTTGAACCACAGTGATGATCTGTTTACAACTCCTTGCACTTGGAATTTGTGACTGAAGTGTTCTGGGATGAGCTGCACCATTTCTGGGGATCTCTGTCTCTCTCTCTCTCTCAGCTACAGAAGCCACTCGGGCCAGGTTTGCCCTTCCAAGACACCTACTTCTTTTCCTCACTGAGAAATATTTTATTCTGTTGACTTCTCATCCCAAAGGGTTGAGGATGGTCCCAGGTCACTGGGAAGCATGGTGTCCCTCTCCCATCTGCCTAATGCTGAGGACGTGGATGCCTTTATTGGGTTGACTGAAGGACTGCACTGTGACAATGGATCACCCATCTCTGGAGTATTGTTGCACTGATGACCTCTGAGATTCTGGAAGGAGGTGGAGAGAGACTTAAGCACCCTGAACACCTAGGATTGAATTATTACTCTTCCATTACTAGCTGGGTTAACTTTGGGTAGATTCTTTCTGTTCATTCTCTCTGTGCCTCAGCTTCCTTATTTGTAACACAAGCTGTTGTAGAGTCAGTGAAACAATCTATGTAAGGTACTTAATTAGTGCCTGACACACATTAATGCTTGTGGTAGACATCACTAATGCTCACCATGTTTGATTCTCCTCCTTCCAGCCACACAGAAGACAGCACTTCCCACCCCACCTCACCCATCGTTGAAGATTAGTGGACCAAGTGCTAAGTTCAAGCCAGCGAAACTGGTGTCATTTTTGTCACTTATGATCTGGGGCAGTGATGGTTCATTTTAGGTGTCAACTTGACTGGACTAAGGGATACCCAGATAGCTGGTAAAGTGTGATCACTCACACAGCATCCATTGCAGATCCTGACAGCTCTCCAGGGTGAATGTTCTCCCTACAGGGACTTTGCCCCATGGCTGATAGGTCCTCCACCACCCAAAGCAGCAACACCTGCAACACGTGGCCTTCTCAGTCGTTGAGCGGGAAAGAAAGGCTAAAGAAGGATGTACAGGCTTTTCCCTCACAGCCTTACTCAGGGCTCTCCAGAGAAATGGAACCTCACAGGAGGGTGCTTCCAAAGAGATTAGCATTAGAATCTGTAGATTGAATGAAGAAGATCTCCCTTATCAATGTGAGTGGGCATCATCCCATCTGTTTGGGTCCCAATAGAACACAAAGACAGAGGAAGGGTGAATTCTCTTCCTTCCTGAGCTGGGGCATCCTCTTCTACCCTCATACATTGGAGCTCCTGGTTCTGCATCTTTAGTCTCAGACTGTATTACACCACTGGCTGCCCTGGTTCTCCAGCTTACAGACAGATGTTAGTGGGACTTCTCAGCTGCCATAATCACATGAGCCAATACATCTCCTCTTGTATATTTCTATATGTCCTACTGGTTCCCTTTCTCTGGAGAGCCCTGAGTAAGGCTGCTAGGGAAATCCTGTACATCCTTCTCTAGCCTCTCTTTCCTGCCCAGCGACTGAGAAGGCCACGTGTTGCAGGTGGTGCTGCTTTGGGTGGTGGAGGACCTATCAGCCATGGGGCCGAGTCCCTGTAGGGAGAACATTCACCCTGGATCTGCAATGGATGCTGTGTGAGCAAGACACAATTTTTTACTGTGCTGAGTCACTGAGATTGTGGAGCTATTTATTCCTGCAGCATAGGTTGGCCTCTTCTGACTAATACAGTTGCTCAATAAATAGCAGTAATTGTTACTGGTAGTATTGTTACTATCACAGACAGGTAAGTGCCCTAGTATTCCTCCTTCTCTTAGCAGCAGATCCTTGGCTGTGACCATTAGGAGCTCTTGCTCTATCATCCAAAGGATTCACACCAGCTTGGCTATGGGTTCTCCCCCGATCTCCTACCTTTGTCTGATGCTTCAGCTCATGCTTTCCCCTGTGCCTTTCTCCCTGCCGCTCTCTCCAGCCCTTTGGGATTCTAACTAGATCTTTTTACTCCATAAAATGGCCATTGTCTCAATGCCCAAATCAACCTATTTGATGCAGGTAGGGTGGGGAAAGAACTCAGTCCTGAGTGCCAAGAACCTTGGGCTCAGCTGCTAGCTTGGCTGCTGCCACTCCCTTCCTCTGAGCCCCTGGTTAGACTGAGAAGGAGCCCATGGCACCTTGTTACTCTGGGCAGTGGCTCTGGGTACCATCCTCCTCTGGCCTCAGAGCTGTTCTGGGGCAGAGACCTGCCTGGATCCTCCATGCCTACCTCACACATGGTGTGTGCTCCATAAATGGAGACTGACTTAAGAATGAATGATATTAGAGAAGAAAAAGCTTTTAATGACCACCTTCGTGTGCTGTGGCTATCACAGCCACAGAGATTGTCTTCCAGCAAATGCTCAGTACCTATCCAAGGCAGCCCCTAGCCACCTTCATGGAAGCCCAGGGCTTTGAAGAACAGATGTGGAAAACCACTGGCCTAGTCCAAGCTCTTCATCTTGCAAATGGGGTCTCTGAGGCCAAGAGAGGAAGTGACAGCCTGAGGTCACTCTGGGGGTCGTCTAGACAAGACACCAGGTCTGTTGTCCTCCAACCTTGCACTGGGTTTTGTGTAGTTTCATATAATTCAAGCCAATTCTCTTTCAGGTAACTTCCAAGTGTGTCCAGCCCTCTCTACAGAGAAAAGGTGACCTCCTTGAATGGATTCTAAAGATAGTGTAACAGGTGGGGTATGGAGGCCTTAGCCTATGGCACAAGAGGTCACATTGTCTAGGCTTGGATGCTGGATCCACTGCTTATGAGCTCAGTTACTCTACTTAGGTGACAAATTACTTAATCTCTTTGAGTCTCAGCTTTCTCATCTGTTAAATGGGAGACATGCAGGCCTACTGTGGGTATCTAATGGGATAATGCATAGAAAGGCACTTAGTGCCATGCCTAGCCAACAGTCAGGCCTCAGCAATGCCACTATCTGCCTTCCCATACTCTGCAAACCTACTGAGCTCATATAGATTCTGTGCAGAGCAGCTGTCAAATCAATCATCTTTATTTACTTCCAGAACGAGCTATCACAGGGAGAGGAAGGTGCCCCAAGATGCAGAAACCAGACCAGGAGGTGCTCATGGTCTCTATTTTCCCTTGGTAAACCTGGTTGCACCTCCAGGTCCCAATAGAATGGTCACCTCTCAGAGGAGCCCTCTGTGACTCCTCAGTGGGTTTCGTGAGCATGTCCCTTACTCTCCATGACACATTGCTCTGCACCATATAGGACCATCACCACTGCCATTAAAGAAATGATTTAGAATTGCCTGTATCTAACATCTGCCTTTCCTTATGTGGGCAAAGGATTGAGCCTGTTTAGTTGTTTCACTAGGGCTGAGTGCAGTGCCTGGCACATAGCAGAATCTCAATAAATATTTGTTGATTGAACAAATAAATGATTCCAGGTTCGTATCACATGCCAGGTATGATTCTGGGTACATCACAAGCATGGTCCCAGTTTCATATATGTGTGATTTGCAGGCTATCTTGTTCCAGAAAGAACTATTAAAGCCACCCTGAAGCAAAAATGTTTATGAGTGCAAAGTGAGGTCCAGAGAGGGTTAGTAACTTGCTCATATCACCCAGCTGATTGGCTGCAAATCTCAGCTTGAGCTCAGCTTTGAATAACTCTAAAACCCATGCTCTTTCTTTTCGTCACTATTCTTCTGGTATATCCTGAATTTCCTGGGTTCCTCAGTGGTCTGTTGTAGTAGATCTGGAGGCATGGCTGCCCCTGGGGTGTACAGGGCTTCAGGCCAGTATATTTTCTGTTTTGCAGGGAAGGCTGTCTACATAAACCATTTGAGCCACTCAAAATCATGTGAGCGCCATTCTGCTGACTCCATCTCATGTGATGCTGTGAAATAAAAACTTTGCTGGCCAGTGGGAGCAGTCCACTCACCAGGCTGCCTGCCTGGGGCAGGGGCCCACCACAGGGCTCTGGGCTGACCCCATATGCATGAGCCCTCAGGGCTCTTTGGGACATCTGGCCAGCTCCTGGAGGCAGTAGGGGGCAGGGGTAGAGAAACAAATGGGGATGGGGGTTCACAATGGGTCCAGGTGTGGGGTATGCCTCCTGGATGGCACTGCCAACCCAACTAGTCGTGAACAGAAGGAAGTCCCTCAAGGAAGCCCCCTGTGGTATGGGCCCCATGGCAGGCGTCTAAGGGCAGTACTGTCTGGAGGAGACCTGACCACCTGAATTGGCCCCAGGACACCAAGGGATTCTGATGCAGGGTCCCACAGATCAGGCTTTGAGAAACACTGCTCTAGGAGACCAGGGTCCACTCAAGGTAGAGTTTTCTGAGAAAGAAACTGGTCAGGGGTGGAGGGGCTGCTTGGGTCTGCCCAGCTGGTGGCTGTCACCCCCTAGGTCTCCGAACAGGAGGAGGGTGGCAGGTATTGGATGGCAACGTCGCCTCTCATGGGGCCTTCTGATCAGACGGGCCCTTGGCAGGCTCCTAATTTGTCTCCTCCTCGCAGTGTCAGTATCAGTTTTCTGATGCAGAGGGACCCTGGTAATGAGTTTCTATTAAAAGAGCTGAATCTCGACTCTCGGAACTCAATGTTCAGAATAAACAATGGGGCAGAATCCTATTAAAAAAGGCTTCCAACATGGACAAATTAAACCCTTGGGAATGCTGTACAAAGAATACATTTTTCCAGTGTCGAAGCAAGATCAATAGAGAAAAACAAATAATTTCAAGTAGGAGTCATCATAATGACACCCAGGTACAGGCAGGGGTTGGGTGCGTTATTTTGGCCTGAGGACACCCCAGCAAAGATAATGAGAGAGCGGAGGGCTGGAGCTCGTCTCGGGTGTGAGGGATGTCTGGGTCTCCCGGGCAGCTGAGGGAGGAAGATGTCGTGTCTCATTTGTCTCTGTCGAGGATCCCTCTTTCTCTGGGGGATTGTTAAGCCCACGGAGCTGTGCTTAGCCCAGTGAGGACTGGGGTAAGCCTGTGGAGGGGGTGGGAGACCCTGGCTTTGTTTGCGAGGGGATAGATCTAATCTCTGCACAGGCTGGGCAGGGTAGCTGTGTCTGCCTCACACCCAAGCGGAGGGAAGTGCCCCAGACATCTGCACAGATGCCTGAATTTTCACCACCAAGCCTTCACCCCAGCCCTGCTCTCTCCGCTTGGAGACTGTTCTGTGAAAATTGCTCTTGCAGTACCTAATTTTATTCCCTGGAGCTAAGCAAAATCATACTCATCATTCCTGGCTGATCTCGAGTCCCTCCCTCTTTGGGAAACCTTTCCTGAGTACTTCCCACCTCTTCCAGGTTCCTAATGGTCTGATAACACCCTCGAGTGTTTGTCTCGTCTGGCTCCTGCCTCCCCCAGCATCCTGCCTTGGAGACTGTCCCAGGGCTGTTGGCTGTCCTGTTGATTCATTTAGTCAGTGCGCCCCCTCCCATATCTTGCAGGGACCACTTTGTTCAATCCAGCCCACCCCACAGTCACTGAGCATGGGCCCCATGGTCATGTCCGTGTTGAGCTCTGGGAAAGCCAAGGTTGACTGAGACACAGGCTAGGAGCCCTTGAAGGCAGGAACTCTTTCAATCCTCAAATTTGGCCCAGCTGCCCCTGTTATAAAATGAGGCAACAGAGGTCCAGAGGAAGGCAGTCATGGAGTCAAGGTCACACAGAAGTGGGCAATGGAGCCAAAACTGGAACCCAGTGCTACTGCCTTCCTGCAGCAAAGGCATGCTAGGGTCTCACTCCACACAAAGTGCTATTCTGCATGCTCTGTGTATTAATGCTTTTATACTGCACATAGTATCCTAGGTAGGTACTGTATTTTCCTCATTTTACAGGCAAGGAAACTGACGCATAGAGAAGTTAGGTAACTGACTCAAGACCTTAAACTTCAAAGGTGTGGTCAGGCCTCCTGGCTCCTGGCCAGCTTTCTTTCCTCTGCCTTGCCCAGGAAGATTGTGGAGAGTGGGTCATGGTGCAGGCAGACATGGGGAGAGGAAAGGGTCTGGGGACCTGGCCTCAGTGGAGGGCAGGAAGGGGAGGATGGCCCTGAGTTGCTTGCATCCCTGTCTGGCTCAGCACACACGCCCACTGTGTGGAACCAGTAGGAGTTACTCCTCTGTGGCTCCTCCTGCCTTCTCTGGAGATTGCAATCACACAGTAGCTCACTCAATAAAGGCCCTAAGAAGTCCTGAAACAGCTTTGCTTTTCCCAGTGTCTGCCAGACCTATGTGACAGTGGAGGCCCTTTCTTGTCACCTCAGAATGCTTCTTAATATCACATGCCACTCCTCTTGAGAAAGTCCCCTCTGCAACACAGCTGGACAGAGTGAGGAGTGAGTGACTGAGACAAGAAGTTGTGTAGTGGCAGCCCCAACAATGTGGATTTTCCTAGATGCCAAGGGAGGAGGAACTTCCAGGGTGGGGAGCAGGTCAGGCAAATTGAAAGCCTCACAGTTGCTGTGGAGGATGAGGTCTTGGACAGCCCTCGGATTTGGTGAGGAGGAGTCTGGGATACAAATCACACACATGTGCCCAAGTTAGTTGCTGGTGGGGTGCAAATCATTGTGGTAGCTTTGATGGGATGAGGGGCTGGTTTATCCATTAAAATTCAAAATGCACATACCTTATGATGTGGCAGTTCCACTTTTCTCTATTTAGCTAAGAGAAACACTTATGCATGGGCTCATGGAGGCCTGTTTAAGGGTGTGTACTGCAGCCTTGCTGGTATAAGTGTCAGAAATGGAAACAACCTTAGTGACCACGAGTAGGAGAATGGCTAGAGACTTTATGGTAAGAGTATACTTCAGCAGCTAGAAAGAATGGGACGATGTTTATGCAAGAGCCTATTGGATTAACAAAGCAAGGGGCAGAGTGATACATACAGCATAATACTTCTTAAGTGAAAAAATGTACAATTCTGTAATCTTGTGCACATATACATGTACATATGTATACATACACACAAGCACATACTTGCGCTCACACACAGACACTATAACACTGGTAGTTAAGAGAGAAAGCTCTAAAATCCAGAATTTCTTTGACTTGTAGCTCTGCCACTTGCTAGATTTGTAACTTTGAGCAGGCAACTGAATGTAACTGTACCTCAGTTTGCTCATCTGTAAAATATGGATAATTATATTTCAACCTCAAGGAATTATTGAGCATATTAAATGATTAACTGAGTTAACATGAGCAAAATACTAGTGAAAGTGCCTGGCCCATGGTAAGGGTGAAACAGTTGTTACTGTGACCATATTTCATCTGTTTTAATATACACACATTTTTTCACATCTTAAACCAGCAATTGACAGCTCTTAATGTTGGGTCATTGTTTAGTCGGCAACTATTTTTCCTTCCTGGTAGCACATAAAATAGTGGCACAACTTACAATGGAAGGCATCTTAGGTTCAATGAAGTAGAATATTGTTTCTAGGTAAAATCTACTAGGGCTCCATACTTGGGATAGAAGCACAAGTCAGTTCTGAGACACACACATCCAGCTTATACCAGTGGTTTCTTTTGGAAAGAATGTTGGAAGGGGTGGTGTCAGGAGGCCTGCAGCCTTATCAGGACTGTCTTAGTGTTTTACAAGCAGCATGTACTCGTGTTTACATGTGGTTTCACTTAGCGTTGCTTGGTTTCAGCCAGCAGACACTAACACTGGTTAACTTAAGCAAAAAGGAATTTATTGGCAGGATGTCGGGAGCTCACAGAAGTGACAGGAGCCCAGAGAAGCAGGCTTGGGGAAGGCGGGAGCCCAGGCCTCTGCCAAGGGCCTGGATTAGGAGCCACAGCCACCACCTTGTAGTGGGAAACATCTGGTCCGCATGCTGCCAAGGCTGAGACAAACGCCCTCCAACCTTGTCCTCTGTCTCCGGGTCTAGTGGCTTCTGTCATTCTTTCTGGTTGTCTGTCATCGGATGACCCCTTCTTTCTAGGCTTGATAAATCCCCTACCTTAAAAGTGTTGGGGTTGGGGAGTGGCAGAGTCAGCCTCCCACCATGGACTGGGCTGCAAATCTGCATAGTTCCCATGCCCTTTGAGTCCATGCAAAGGCATGTGCCCAGGTTGGTGACTGGAGGAAGCAATGGCATGGAACAGGGCAAGACACATCTATGCTGGTGGTAGGAGGCTGGGGCAACAATCATAGCAGCCGTGTCCACTTCCAGGGGCAGTGCTGTTCAGAATAGCAGTGTCTGTGCCTGGCATCTGGAGCAAGCTGTGGCAGCCTGGGCAGCGATGTTCACGTGGGGCTGGCTTCCTAAGGACACTTTGGCTGGGATCCTGACTATGGCCCGGACTGCCTTGATGCTGCCTGTTTCTGAGCCTGGTTCCCAGCCTTCCCTGTGAATCTGTGAGCTACCTCACCTCCTTTGGAACACATTCTCCTTTCTGCTTCAATCCTGACCAAGTTGGATTCTGTTGCTGGTAACCAAGAAGCCTGTCCGACACCCTGCATCCCTCCCTCCAGATGCAAACTCTCAGAAAAGAGGTTGGGGCACGTGCCTGCTCCCTGGGGAGGACCAGGAGACGTGGGGAGCTGGATTTGGCCTTTTGGCTTTTGTAATGGGAGGCAGGAGCCTAGAATCCTCCTCTACCAAGAACACACACAATGGGAAAGAGGCAAATTCTGAAAGGAAATCAGGCTGTTGTTAGTGAGGGGTTGTGGAGGTGGGACTTGCAAAACATGACAAATGTAGACTATCCTTGTTTAACTATTATTTAAAACAAATAGAATGTATGCTCTGCTTGGAGGAAACAGATTCATTCATTCATTCATTCAACAAACTGACTGCCAGCTACATATATATACATAAACAGTCAGGCACTGGGGGTGTAATGATGACAGCCTTCTAGGGGCCCGAGTCTGGTGCTGGTACCAGGTCAGTGGACAGACAGGGACAGGCAGTGGGCCCAGTGTTGCAAACCCAGATAGTCCTGTGTCAAGACCCCTCAGTCCCAGGCAAACTAGGGAGTTAACACTTTGGATCCTAACAAGTTGATCCTGAAAAGACAGGAAATTGGCGTGGCAGGCCTGTGGGTAGCGGGGCAGAACATCAGGGCTGGAGATTTCAGGTAGACTTAGAAAGGGGATGAGGGGATGGCCTGAGGCCAGCAGTGGTGGCAGGGATGCAGCCTCTGGCAGAAGAAGGCCTTGGAGCCCAGCCTTGGCAACTGGAAAGGGGGCGAGGAGAGGAAGGAGAGCCCCAGGAGGGGAGGAGGAGATGAGCAAAGGCCAGGAGGCTCTAAACGGAGGGGCCACCGATCTTGGCGTAGGGATCGCCTTCGACCATGTGTCATGGAGGATCCAAAGAACAGCTGCTTCATCTAACAGTGATGAAGGTCCAAGGACAGTGTGGGGGCTCCATGAAGCCATGGGGGCCCGGGCTGCTTCCTGCTCTTCCGCCGTCTTTGGTTATCTCACAGCTCAAGATGAAGATGGCAGATCCCCCTGCAGCCTCACGCTCATGTCTGGAGGTCAGACACAGGGCAGGGGAAAGAGCAGCGGCTAAAGGAGAAGGGCAAAGCTTTCCAGTCATGCCCTCCAGAAACTCATGCTTCTGGTTGGCCAGGTCTGTCACAGGGTCTCCCCTGGTTGACAGGGAGGTGGGACATGCAGCACTTCTGCTGATTTGAACAAATTCAAGGGTTCCATTTGTAAGAAAGAAAAGGGGAGCAGCTATTGTGGAGCTAGCTAGCTGAGTCTACCCCAGGAGGGTCTCCTGGGACTCTACAAAACACCCAGTGTCCTCACTGCCCACCACAGGACCCAAGCCCCCGCAGCAGGGCCCCGTGGCCATCCTGCCAGTCTCAGCTTAATCCTCACCCCAGGGTACAACTGGCTGCCCCAGGCCCCTCCTCTGTTCTCCTCCCAAGAAAGCCAGATGGCAGGCGGAGTGGCTCTGTCTCCTGGCAGGGTCCTGGGGACTCGCCCCTCTCTGCCTGAACGGCTGTGCCCCCTCCCCACGCGCTTCCTGCGGCCTGGAGCCCAGCCTCTCTCCAAGTGGGACTCGCCCTTCCTCCTCCAGCACAACGCCCGGAGTGAGCCTGCCCATCTGGTTCTATTTCACTCCATGTTACTCATCAGGATGTGTTTGCCAGGAGTTATTTGATGTTCAGGAAGAATTCTGAAGCTTTTGAAAAGAAGTAAATAAAATCTTTTCTCTCCCAGAGAGTCGTGAAATTGCCTTTTGCTGAGGAGACGGCAGGCGCCCATGTGGGGTCCAGCAGTCCCTGCCTGGCCTGGCCCAGGGAGCTGGTATTCTGGGGTTTGCCCTTGTGCCTGTGGCTCCCCCATATTCCTGGGCTCAGGTGGACCTCCCCAAGAGACCATTCTAAGACTTTCCTGATCCTCTTGTGATGCTCAAATTTGGGTACAGAAGAAGGCAGCCGTCAGGGACGCTCAGCCTGTCTTTTGCTCTCTGGCCAAGAAAGCTTTTAGGAAGAGCTCCTCCCTACTCACTGCCATGTCTGGGCCATACGGCCTGTACTGATGAGAACGTGTGAGCTGCAAAGGCAACAGAGCTGGAGCTGGGACCCACAATCTTGCATTCTCTGCTGCAGAGGCAGCCTGCAAGGGTAGGGACAGAGTGCCTGGCCCTGAGAAGACCTGATCTGCTGCAGCCGGGTGATCACAGGCAAGGGGCTTCACCTCCCCACCTTCTCCTCCCTTCTCCTCCTTTCTGAGTAAACGGCAGAGCCCACTGGATGTTAGGACATCCAGAAAAGAGAGGGACACCAGTGCCACCTCTCCAGGTCCCAGTCCATCCCAGCATCACCCTCCCCTTGGACCCACACTGCCTCCTACCTTTCCCCTCCATGCCTTGTTGTGGCAAGGCTGGAATTTTCCAGATAAGTTTTAGTAAACAACCAAACAGATGTTCACTGGCAAGTGCTCAGGTTCTTTTGGCCCCTGGGGACCGCCCTGCCCCTGACCTAGCTGGTTTGGGCACGGGGTTACACTTAAAGCATCCGGCTGAAAGGATGAACCAGTGCATGGAGGATCACTCCTGGGGCAGAGGAGGTCATGTCCTCACCCTTTCTTTCCTAATTGTGTCCATGCTTTCTTCAAGTCCCCACAGTGAGTGGCCAGTTGGTGGGTGTGGATCCACCCTCCGTCACTCTCCATTTGTCCTCCCTGCTGATGCGTGGCACCTCCAGAGGGTTGATCCTCTCCAGCCATCACATGGCAAACCCTGCAATTCACACAGCTCCCCTCCTAGAGCATCCTCATGACAGTTTACAACCCAGACTATTAAACATTGATCACTCAAAATTTAACATCCCATCTTCCCTTTGATATCCTCAACTGCTCTCTGCATAAGACAACAAGCCAGCTTTCTGCAGCTCAGCATGAGGGAAGACTTCAAAGCTGCCTTCCCACTCCCCCACTCCCAGCAGCTCTGGCATTCCACAAGCAAGACTGCCAAGTGGATGGGGACCACCACCAGCCTCACCTTCAGAACTCAGACCAATGAGGGATATCCCTGGATTCTGGTCTTGGATTAAGAATCTGGGATGATTTGAGCACAATCAGGACTCAAGGGCACCTTGGCTCTCTCTAGAAGCAGCTGTGGCTATTGGGAAATTATTTAGCTTGGGAGTCTAGTGGGGCGGCATTTGAATCCCAGAGATGCCCCCTTGCCTGCTCTGGAACCTTAGAAGATGTGCTGAGTCCTCACAAGTGAAACGGAGGTGAGAATACCCCTCTCTTAAGCTCCTGGAGAGGATTAACTCAGAGGCTGGAAGTGAGAGTGCCTGCCCCATAGCAGATAATCAGAAGGTGGCCATTCTGTCTCCCCTCTGAAGAAGAGTTTCTTCCCCCAGATAGTGTGAGTGCGTTCGTGGGAAGGATGGATGCATTGGTGGCTTTGTGAAATAGGTGATTTTGAACTCTTCAGTGGGTGGCCACGTGCATAGACATTGCTGACATGCTGATTACAAGCATTACCATCCTTTCGCTCAGGCCGCCGCCCAGGGGCCCATATTTTATTAAAACTATATGAATTAGAATAGTGGCCATTTATGGGACATTACCCACAGACCAGGCACTGGGCAAAGTGATTTACTCGTATCTCTCACATCAGCCTGTAAGGAAGGTTCTCTCACTGGGCCCTGTTTCCAGATGAGAATCTTGAGGGTGACAAGGGGAACCACCTCAAGAAAATGGCAAAACTGGGACCTTAAACCAGGTCAGCTAGATGCTGAAGTCCTAGCTCTTGGTTGTACTGGCCTAGTTTAAAGGCACGCAGTACTATGCATACCTGAAACTCATTGGCATTAATAAACTGCATGCAGATTCTATCAGTGAGCATGTGAATCTCCTCTCCAGATGGATGATAGCACAGTCATTTGTACACACGAGGGATTTATATGCTCTGGCATGGCTAGAGAACATATCAGCGGACTGCCTGCAGGCTACCAGTTTGCTCCTGGAATCCACCTGCAGGACAGTGTCTCAGAGCCTTGGTGGTTTGTACTGGAACACTGGTGTGGTGGAGAGGAACTCAACACCTCCAAGGCAATTCTATTCCACTTCACAAACCATTTTTGAGAATCCATCAGTGTAAAGAGTAGTGCCAAGCCATAAACAGCAAGTTCAGGGCCAGTCCCCTCATTTCCCCAGCCCCTGAGAACAAATCCTGGTACCCCTTCCCTTGAAACCTGGATATAGCCTCAGTCCTCCCTAATGCCACCCTCTAGCCCTCCGAGTTGCTGAGTTGAGTAGGAAACCTGCTGCCATCCCTGTGCTGGGGGATTTGCACAGTAAGAAGGAAGCCAATTGCAATGGAGTAGTCTCCGAGCAGCAGGAAGGCTTGAAACTCCTCTCTTATTCTGGCACATCCTCTGCCGCATCCCTGAAACTTGGCCATCGGCACTGGTGCTGCCTTCCGGGGCTGTGCAGAGCCAGTCTGCCATTTGTCAGAGATTGGAGAGCAATGTTATGTCCCCAAGTCTTCTCTTTTGCAGGTCAAATGTCTCCAGTTCCTTTCATCCAAAATGTCCTGCTTTGCATGGCTCTGAATCCTCTAACTTTGCAGGGGAGAGTGAGAAGACAAAAGGCTAGGAGAGGAGCTAGGAGTATGGCTACCACCTTCCAGGAGAGCTGCCAGGGCCCAGATGGGGGCATAGCACCCAGGAGGAGAGGAGGAGGCAGGGCAACCACGGCAAACGGTGACTTGAACCCCCTTCCCAACCCCCCTCATCCTGGATGTTCGTGGAACCCTCCCTGTGTCCTTCAAAGAGAGATCAGAGATACAAAGCTGCACTTAAGCCACTCAGAGCCAAGCATGGGTGAACAGCACCTTGCCTAGCAGCCTACCTGGTAACACAGGGAAACTGCTGATGTTCCCTGAAATTGTAGGGTGGGGCTCTAGGGCTTGATAATACCACTTTCTGAGGTGTCACCTGCACCTGTCAAGGGCGACAGGTATTTTCTTTCTTGAAGAAGAGCTCTCATGCCATGATGATTCAGCTTTGCTGAGTAACTCTCAAATCTCTCAACGTGGCCAGTTCAGGTAGGGTAGCTAACGTGACCCTCTAGTGACACCACCCTCCCTGCGGTGGACATCAGGCGTCAGACTGTCAGAAGCACCTGATCCACAACGGTAAGCCTGCCCTCACAGAGCATTGAACTTGCCATCCTTGCAGATCTTCCTTACCTCCTGAACAATCAGAAAGGCAGAGGAAAGAAAAGGTAGAAGGAGAACTGGATTTGGAGTCTGGAGTAGAACTTACATCATCTTCCCTGTGATTTGGGGCAATTTGATTATCATCTCCAAAACTCCTTTGTTTGGGAAATGAGGTTAATGGTGTATGACTCACAAAGTCTCTGAAAGGACTAAATGACATGGTGTTTGGCAAAGTGCCAAGCATCAGTATATAGTAGGTGCTCAATAAATGTTAATGGAAAAGAGATCTGCTTTCAGATGTAGAGAAACAGGACATCTGGATATCAGACTGATATCCACTTGTGGATGATCTATTAGTAAGAGGATGGGTCTATGATCTGGGAGCAGAAGCAGAAGGTGTGTTATTTTGATTAAGAGTCTTCCATGCCTGCTCTGAAATCTCTGGCCTTGAGCTTGCTGTCTGGCTGCAAGCATCAACGTGCCTAGGACAGCTGCATTGAAGGTCAACACAAAGAAGAAAGAAGCATGATCTCACCATTAAGTACCCCATTCTGCCCACCCATGTCTTCCTCTTGACAGAACAGAGCCATTAGAGGACTACTAGGTTCAACTCTAAATTTGACCCTAAGGGAGGTAACAAATTAACCCACTATCCCCCATTAACTCTCCTGCATGGCTTCATTTATCAAGACAAGCTGCTGCTTTGGAGAGATGAGAACCAGAAACAGGACCCAGAGGGGGTTTCATGATCCTAGTTCTGAGCTCGCACCCTCGTTGTTCTGGAATATAGGAAGGAGGGAGGGGACTTTCAACTGCCTGTACTGTCTAGGTGCTTTGTGCCATCTCATTTAATGCCCGTAATCAGCCTGTGAATCAGATAGCACTATCTCCATTTGGCAATGAAGGAACTTCAAAGAAAAAGTAAGTTGCCTGAGGTCACTGTCAGATTGGGACAAAAACCCAAGTCTGGCTCCAAAGCCCGTGCTCCTAGCTCCTAACCCTCCTCTGGGGTTTGCTACCTGCAGACATTAAGTGAAGCACTATGCAGTCATTACTTCATTTAACCCTCACAACAACTTTATAAATAGATATCACTATCGCCGTTTTTCAGGAGATTGAATCTCCAATTTCTTAAAGGCCTTGTTCAAGGTCACACAGGAGATAGGTTGTGGAGCCAGGTTTTGAGCCCGTTTGTCCATCTTCAGAGCCTCAAGAAGCATTGTTACATTAAGCTTCTTTGCTTAAAATTAATTCATTTATCCATGAAACATTTCTATATGGGCAGGGCTCTGTGTTAGACACTTAGGGTTACAGAGATGGCTACTCCAAGGTCCCTGCCCTTAGAAGTCTCTTCCATCTTTCCATCCTCAGCTCGACCTCCTCTGGCCTCTGTTGGGAGAAGCCCTGGCCACATTGGCTCCCATCTTTTCTATAACTTCACATGGTGTCCAATGTCCAGAGCCCTGCAGGGGTGTCTGAAGAGACAGGAAGGACAACCTGTAGGAGCTGCCCATGGAGGGAACAGGAGTCCAGGACTTTCATTTCTGTCTCAGCAGGTCCCTCACTTGTTCCATGTGCTATCTGTCACCCCACTGGCAACTCCCATCTTTCTGTGAAATTAATATAACACAGGACAGGCTGGGTTGTGCCATGACAAGTGATCTCAAACTCGGTAACTGATTGCAACGAGGCATTTTTTTTCTCATGGTACATATGCAAAGGTGGTCAGCAAGAGAGCCCTGCTCCCCAGAGTCACCCAAGGATGTAGAATGAGGCCATCCCCATCTGGTACCTGTTTCCATGTACTGGCTCTTAGAGACACCTGCCCAGGGGGACACATGTCATCTCTGCTCACATGCCACTGGCCAAAGCAAGTCACCTGGCCTGAGTAAATTCAAAGTGGGCTGTAGGTGCCATCATCCTAGCCTGGCAGGAGAGGGGAATCCGAATATTCATAAACAGCCCCAGTGACCACCACAAAAGATGACCACAAAAAATATAATGAAACCCAAGCAAGTTTATTAAATTATTGCCGCGGAAGATTCTGAGCCTGAGAGCTCCTCTGCCTCTTCGTTCACAAAGGAGATAAGCAAGCTTTAGAGATGTGTTAAAAATGTATTAGCTCCTGAGTGAAACTTTCTATTTCATTCATCATATTTAGCAAATATTTATTGAGAGTCTTCCATGTGCCAGGCACTCCTAAGCATATCAGACAAACCAGTGAATAGAAGTCCCCACAGTGAGTGAATAAAACAGACAAAAATCCCTGCCCTATGGGAGCTTACATTTCAGAGGGGGAGACAAATATTGAACAGTAGATATGAAAAATAAATAAATTATACACTGGTAATATGTAGTTACAGACACACTGATAGAGAATGGAAAATGCGCTGACTTTCTCCTGTGGGAGTCGGCCTTGTTGGAGGCACCAGCCATTCCCTCGGGCTCCTCACGACTACGTCTCCTGCAGCGGGAGCCTCGCTGCTAACCCCTTGCTCTTTTGTCTCCTGCCCTTCTTCTAAATGAGAAGGTAGCTGAGGTCTCTCTGCGTTCAGCAGGAGCCACAAGGAAGGAGTCCTCTCGCTTTGCCCAGGTCACCTCCTTCTGTCCATCACTGCTGGCTTGTTTATTCCCTCACTGGCTCACATAGCTATCGCAGGGCCCAAGCACTCCTGCTGTTGGAGGACTTGCCCCTCATCATATTGGAATATGACATTGCACCTGCATCTCACTGTAAGTATACAATTTATAAATAACTATGTTAGACTTGACTTGTGGTGCCCTTTTGACATACTAATGACTAGGTAAAATTTACTGGGGATTTTGCGTGTGTGAGGCATGATCCTGGGTCCTTTATGTGTATACCTGATTTCCTTTAATCGTTGCAACAGCCCACACTGTTGGACTTGTCTGTATTTCCATCTCACAGGGGTGGCAGTCCAGGCTCACTTAAGCTCAGCCCTTGCCCAGGTCATACGATGTGGGAGCAGGAAGGAGAGGAGAGCAGGGCAGCCCCTGCCTATCACGGCCTCTGCTCTTTGTCTCATTACAAAACCACCTTCCTATTTGGGAGCCATTTAATTAAATATTTATTCATTTTTGAGTTTGTGGTATTCTTTTCTAATTTGGAGCATGTGTGTGTGTTTCCATGTCTCAAAGATGTGCATAGACTCTATGGTGCCAAATGTAGGAAACAGCCCTGCTTCCTCGCTAAACAGACATCTATCACATGGGAAACCAGTGCCCTCATCCAGAGCTGGTGGGAGAAGCGAAGAAGGTGCCACTTCAGGGAGGACAATTTGGGAGAATGGGTTTATGAATTAAAACACGTTTACTTTTGAACTCAATGGTTCCACCTCTAGAAGACAGGATTTCACAGGTGCTCAAAGATATGGATACCGGGATGTTCACTGTAACATTGTTTATATTATTAATAGCATTAAAAAGCTGAAAACTACCCCATACTCAATAGGAGGGGATTGTTTACATAAATCTTGTGCGTGTGTGCATGAAATGTTAGCCAAGCATTTCGGTGGGTGATTATGAACGGCATCTGGTGGGAAACAGTAGTTGCAGAGCATTTTGTGTTGTGTTCATCCATTTGTGTAAAAGCATCTATGCACATATATTACAAATAACTGCTTATATGGGTATAGAATACTTGAGAAGGATATATAAGAAACTGTGATGATGGCCATCTCTGAGAAGGAAGAGAGGGATTGGGGGGTTACTCACTCTTGTTTGTGTATCTTCACAAGTGCTTTGAGTATTTTTACACATGCATGTGTTATATTGACAGTTGGCAGTTGTTAGATACTCTCTGCACTACTGTATAAATAAATGGACTTAATCCACACGACTATGGTACAGGCTGCAGTACCATCCCCATCTTACAGATGATATAGCTGAGGCACAGAGAGGTTAAGTAGCTTGCTCAAGGCCACTTGGCTTGGAAGTGCTGGTAAGGGGGATTTTTGGCTGGGCAGTCTGGCCCCAGGACCTGAGACCTCAACCTCCACGATGTTAAAGAGAAAAGGAGAGCAAGCAAGCCCCTTAGATGGGCCTGGTGCAGCTCCCCCTTCCTCCTCTCCCAGAGGGACCATCTTCTCTTCTAGCCAGAGTCTTTGCCAACCCTCTCTGCTAGTTTCTTTGCCTCTAGCTGAAAATGAGCCAAGTCCTCCTACAGCCTAGGAAGCTGTGTGAGGCAGAGACAGTGCTGTGCATTCACGAAGCTATTTCTTTGTCCAGAGCACTGGATTAGAGCACGTTTTCAGTGCTCACAGCCCTAGCAGTGGTCAGACGCCTAAAGCTTGCCATGGAAATTTAGCAGGAGTGAGATGCTACTTCCTGTCCAAGGCAATGATGAGCAGGTGGTCCTTCTCCATGTTTCCCCCTTTCTGTGGAGCTAGAGGTCAAGGTGTCTGAGATGCAGGACTGCCAGGTGGGAGTAGCCTGGGTCCCCAAGTCACCACTTGTGGAAGGACCATGCACAACCACTGCCAGGCCTTCCTCACACAATGACAGGAGCCAGGTGCAGCTCTGTTGGGTTACACCGCTGAGATTTGGGGGTTTCTCGATGGCATTGTCTACCCTCTCCTTAGGGCCCAGGCCTCATCCTTGTCTGTTATTTTTTAACTCACAAATTCTTAAAGAAGATACAGACCCCGGAGACATAGGCTTCAAAGGTGCTTGTCACTTGCTGTCGGGACTTGCCCTCACCTCTCCTGGGCTTGCTCAGCCACAGTGGCCTCTAATGGGCAGAGTCAAGGGTGCTTCTCGGCTTGCGGTCCCTCTGGTTCTTCCTGAGCTTTAGGACTCCATAGCCTTAGTTTCTTGAACTCTGTCCTCTTCTAATCCTCTTCTCTTTCCTCTGGATCACATTCTCCTATAGCCTTACCCATCGAAAGGCATGGACTTAGGGTCAGGCATCCCTGATCTCTCCTGAACAAATTGTACAATCCTTTAACTGAGGCATGGGCTGTCCATCTCCTCAGGGCACCAAGAGCTGGGGCTCAGGGCTATTGCCAAGGGTAACGAGATCATTCTCATACCGAGCCCAGCACAGGGCTCAGCAAATGTCTGCTTTCTTCCCCTCTTCTATTCTCTGGATTATTTTCCTGCCTCATGCATCTCTGCCACAAATATAAACTGTATTTGTTCTCTTCTCTCTCTGTCTCTTCTTCTTTGGGGATTTGTAACTACTTCCACAATTTCATTCAGTTCTGTGCAGGTAGCTACTAGTATCTTGCCCTAGCTTTAGAGCTGTATCTGAAACTGCATCACATATGCATCATTAATTGATCAACTCACTCTACACTTATTTATTGAGAACCTACTTTTGACAAGAGCTTATGCTTGGCACTAGAGACAAAACAGTAAACAAATGTGGACGTGTTCTTTTCCTGTGGGGTTATTCATCTAACGATGAAGCCAGATATTAATACAATAATCTTGCAAATGCATATAAACTTGAGATTTTCACAAGTGTTTTAAAGGAAAGACATATGATTCTTTGAGATCTAATCATGGGTTCTTTGACTTAGCAAGGGTATTTCTTATGGAAGGTGGAGGTGAAGCTTAGTTCTGATGGAGAATGAGGAGTGAATTAGGGAAAGAGGGAGGGCCAGCATTCCTGAGAGAGGTACCAGTATGACCAAGCAGCTCATATCAGCAGTGAGTGTGGCAGGAAGAAGGTGGCGGGTAGAGGAGGAGTAGGGGAGGAACAGAAGGGGGCAAGCTGCGTGTGATCAGGGTGGAGAGGGAGTGTGGAAAAGTCTACTCTTTGCCCCTCAACATCTAGCCTCCTTTTAATTTCTTTTTTCTTTTTCTTTTTTTTGAGACAGATTCTCACTCTGTCACCCAGGCTGCAGTGCAGTGGCATGAGATCTTGGCTCACTGTAACCTCTGCCTCCCAGGTTCAAGTAATTCTCGTGCCTTAGCCTCCCCAGTAGCTGGGATTACAGACATGTGCCACCATGCCTGGGTAACTTTTGTATTTTTAGTAGCAACTGGGTTTTTCCATGTTGGCCAGGCTGGTCTAGAACTCCTGACCTCAGGTGATTCACCCATCTCACCTTCCCAAAGTGCTAGGATTATGTGTGTGAGCCACCGTGCCCGGCCCACCTTTTAATTTCTTACTAGAGAAACTTTTATTTTTACTGGGCCCAAGGCTGCCTGAATAGAGACTATATTTCCCAGCCTCCCTTGCAGCTAGACAAGGGCATGTAACTAAGTTTGGCCAACAGGATGTGAGTGCTCTGTTCAACTTTTGGGAAATGTTCTTAAGGGGAAGGGCACAGCCTTCTCTGTCCATTTGTCCTTCCTACCCGGTGGAACTCCAACAGCTTTTCTAAGCTGGAGCTGCCATTTTGAACCACAGGCAGGATCCTGGATGAGGGGGTGCAGAATGACAGAAAGGAAGCAGTCAGGGTCTCTGATGACCACGGACCTGCATGGTCTGCCCCCAGCCATTGATCTCTTTGTGTTCAAGAGAGAGAAACACACTTCTCTCATATTTAAGTTACAGTAGCTTGGGGGCTTCTGCCACTCACCGATGATTATAACTAATACAGACAGACAGCAGCCACACAGTGCAGGGCTTTGTGGCCATGTGAAGGCATTTTGTCCTGATCCTAAAGGTGGAGGCCCATAACTGAAGGGGTGGGAACCCATGCCGGGGTGCTACCACGGGCTCCAAAGCAAATTTGTTGCTTTCTGCACTCATCTGCTCAATTCTTTCAGCAGGCATTTACTGAGTATCTACTACATGTTCGGCTCTTACCTAGGTCCTGGGGAATCAAAAATTAGTATGATAGATTCCAACTTTGAGACAGAGGCAGTCTAATGAGTTATAGACATGTAAGTAATGATGACAGTTCAATCAACACTTACTGAGTACCGTGGTGACATTCCACAATGGTGTTGGCATATAAAACAGGGTAGAGCACTGATCAGTCAGAATGGGCACTGCCAGAAACAACAGGACGGCCACCCTGCTCTGTCCCAGCTGAGTTTCTTTCCAGCCAAGCACCTGATGTCCATCGGATACAGCGTCAGACTCTGGGAAATGCAGCGACCCAGGAGATAATGCCTGCTCTCATAGAGTTTATGAGTTTTACTCTCCAGGAAAGAAAAAAAGCCATGAAAATAATAGAAGTGGAGTCCTAGCGTCCCAAGATAGGTGTGGGATAGTGAGGTGAGGGGTGGAGTGGTTGGTTCTATCTGAAGGCTCAAGAAAAATCACCTAGAGGAGACACCTGTTGAGCTAAAGTGGTAAGAATGAATAGTAATTAGAAGGGGGTAAGGTTCAGGGCCCTCAGGGGTATGAACAACATGCCCCTGGAGTGCTGAGGATGAAGTAACTCATTTGTTCTGGCTGCGTATATGTGTATGTTTGCGTGTGTATGCTTGTGTATGTGTTTACAGTGGAGTGTCACTTAATGACAGGGATATATACTGAGAAATTTGTCATTAGGCTATTTCATCACTGTATAAACACCACAGACTGTGCTTACACAGACCTAGATGGTACAGCTTATTGCACACCTAGGCTATATAGTAGAGCCTATTGCTCCTTGGCTACCAACCTGTACAGGATGTTACTGCACTGGCTACTGTAGGCAATTGTAACACAACGGTAAGTATTTGTGTATCTAAACAGAAAAGATACAGTTACAATACGACATTATAATCTTATGGGATTACCGTCATATATGCCATTTGTCATTGATCGAAATGTCATATGCAGTGAATAACTGTATGTACGTGAGTGTAAGATGTGTGATAATGTGTGTGTATGTGTGTAATGCATGTATATGTGTGTGCACACACCCCCACACTGCATATGTTCAGGGAGGTGAGGGGGATTAAGGGAAGGCATTACAGAGGAGGTCACCACTAAGCAGAGTTTTGAAAGAAAAATAGGAGTTCCTCAGTGGACAAAGAAGAGCAGTTTTAAGTGAATAGGACCTGCTTTTTAAGAGGCCACAGGGTCTGAGAGGGGTGTGGAAAGATGTGCGGGGAGTTTAAGGCAGTGAGTCAGAGGGCTGAGACAGAGTCTTGCACTGTCACCCAGGATGGAGTGCAGTGGCACGATCTCAGCTCAGTGCAACCTCCGCTTCCCGGGTTCAAGTGATTCTCCTGCCTCAGCCTCCCAAGTAGCTTGGATTACAAGTGATGCCACCACGCCCAGCTAATTTTTTGTATTTTTAGTAGAGATGGGGTTTCACTATGTTGTTCAGGCTGGTCTCAAACTCCGAAGCCAGGAAAAATTTCAAACAGAGGGGAAACATGGTCGACTCTGTTTTTTTTTTTTGTTTGTTTGTTTTTTTTTTTTTTTTTGAGATGGAGTCTCGGTCTGTTGCCCAGGCTGGAGTGCAGTGGTGCGATCTCGGCTCACTACAGGGATATCTCTGCCTCCCGGGTTCACGCCATTCTCCTGCCTCAGCCTCCCAAGTAGCTGGGACTACAGGCACGCACCACTGCGCCCAGCTAATGTTTGTATTTTTGGTAGAGACTCTGTTTTTTTTTTTTTTTTTTTTTTTAATTAAAGAAAAGGTAATTAAGCTATGTGTGGTGGCACATGCTTATAGTCCCAGCTACATGGGAGGCTGAGGCAGGAGGGTCCCTTGAGCCTAGGATTTCAAATCTAACCTGGACAACATAACAAGACACCATCTTTAAAAAACAAAAGTTAATTGGGAGAAACTCCCAAAGTGTCCCCCTATGGAAAGTTAGTAAAAAATAATGGTGTACTACTCAGTGGAACTTCAAACGGCCATTAAAAACAAGGAGGTGGATCTATCTGTGTTCATATAGAATCATTTCTTTTTAAAATATTTTATTTTATTTTAAGTTCTGGGATACATGTGCAAGACGTGCAGGTTTGTTACACAGGTAAACGTGTGCCATGGTGGTTTGCTGCACCTATTAACCCATCACCTAGATGTTAAGCCCTGCATGCATTAGCTATTTATCCTGATAATCTTTCTGCCCCCACACCCTCACCCCCTCCCGCTGACTGGCCTCAGTGTGTGTTGTTCCCCTCCCTGTGTCCATGTGTTCATATAGAATCATTTATAAGATAAATCATTGAGTTGAAAATAATCAGGGTGCTGTGTAGTGTTTGTAGTATGGTCCAATTTGTTTGAAAGATGTGTGTGAATATGCCTGCATAAAGATGTCTATCTATCTGTCTGTCTATCTATCTATCTATCTATCTATCTATCTATCTATCTATCTATCTATCTAGCTATCTATCTATCTAGCTAGCTAGCTATCTATCTATCTAGCTAGCTAGCTATCTATCTATCTAGCTAGCTAGTTATCTATCTGTGCTTGTATGTACCTAATGTTGCTTTCTATAGAAATTAAGAACACATTTCAATTAAGAACACATTAAAATAGCAACAAGATCTCACATTTCACCAAATATTTTAAATAAAGATAGTTTCCTATATTGGCCAGGGTTCTGGGAAGCAATTTCTACAGAAATTGTTATTTCTATATAGGCACACAAAAAATTATTAACAGTGTTTGCTTCTATGGAGGGGAATTAGGAGTACATGTTCTGGAGGAGACTTACTTTTCATTGGAAACCTTTTATATGAATTGAATCTTTTTAAACATGTGCATGCATTACTTTTCCAATAAATTAAATAAATATGTATTAAAAATTTTATTCTGCCTGAAATGTGAGTGATGGATTGAAGTGAGAAGAGACTTAGGGTATCACGAACCCTTCCTTGCCTCCATTTCCTTGATTAATGGTGTCACATCCATCCAGGTTTCAGTCGCAAACCTTGAAGTCATCTTCAACTCCCCCCATGTCTAATCAGTTATCAAGTCCTGCCTGTTCTACCCCAGAAACCCCTCTCCTCTCAGCCCTGGAATAGACAGAGAGATTGATGGGACAGAGCTGCAAGCCCAGAAACAGACTGGAGTATGTATAAATATTTAGTATGTGATAATGGTGACATTTCAAGTCCTTGTGGAAAGGATGGATTATTCAATAAATGATGTTGGAAAAAATTAACTCCAATCCTTAGCTCAGTCATAAGCTAAAATAAATTCCTGGTGAATTTAAGACGTATATAAAAATAAAGTCACAAAGGCACTAGAAAAAAATGTAGGTCAGTCTGCTACATAAAATATGGGACTGGAAAGGGTCTTTTTAAGGAAGATGTTGAGAGAAGATATTATAAAGACAAATTTGATAGGTCAGACTATACACAGTTATTTTTGTTACATACTACACGCATAAAAAGCAAATGTATGACTGGAAAAAATACTTCCAAAAATGTGGCATATAAAATGTTAATAAACTTAATTTGTAAAGAAAGCTTACAAAACAATAAAAAAGATAAACACTCCTAATAGACAAATGGAAATAAGTAATTAACAGAAGAGAAAAACAAACGGTAAGTAAACATATGAAAAAATGTTCGATGTTGCTGTTTTATAATTAAGAACACATTAAAATAGCAACAAGATCTAGCATTTCACCGAATATTTTAAATAAAAGATAGTTTACTATACTGGTCAGGATTCTGGGAAGCAATGTCACATATCACAGGAGGGAGTGTAAAGTAGGTCAGACTCCATGGGGTACTCCACCAGCGTATATCAAAGTCTTCAGAAATTTACGTATCATCGACTCCCTAATTTTATGTGTAAGACTTTATCTTGAGAAAATTATTAAGAACATCACAATGATCACCACAGTATTGCAGATAACTTCAAATGTTTGGAAAACAAAACCCTAAAATTTCTTGGAATGAACAATTGATTAAATAAACGGAGGTATATCCAAACAACGTGCTATTATGTGGCCAGTAGAAGTATCTTGGTTGAAAATTACATTCGTACACTGAATTTAGAAGACAGCGCATAAAATGCAACTCTGTTTTGTTTGTACAAACATCCACTCACAGATGTAAAGGTATAGACAAAAGTGTAACACTTTCAACAGGAGCCGTTTCTGGATGGGAAAATTATAAATGATTCTTATTTTCTTAAAAATCACTCTATATTTCAAAAAAAGCCTAATAAATATCAATTACTAGAAAAATATTAAAAATGTAAAATTCACCTGCCCTTTGTCCCAGAAGTTATAGAAATTCATTATAAAGAAATAATTAGAGAAGACAGAATGGATGTTGGTTCAATGTTTTTCATCCCAGCATTCCAAGGAATGATGAAAACTGGAAATAACTTTAACATCTAAAACCAGAGAATATTTAGGTAAATGATGGTCGGATACAATGGAATGCTGTGAAGTCATAAAACTTGAGTTATAGAAGAATATTTATTAAAATGAAAAAATTATTCACAAGAATAAGTGAAGGCAAAGCAGGCTAACCCTTGTTTGAAAGAAACAGAAAATATTAGCAAATTCTACACTAAAATAGTGTAGTTACTCTGGGTGGACAGGCAAGCTCTTTTGTTTGACATTCTTATACGTTTCTAAGTGTTCTGTATTCCACATGTATTCCACATTTTAGTTTTTTTAAAATTTGGGGAACTATTAAAACACCATAAAAAATTAAAAGTCAAATAACATGACTAGGAAAATATTACCCCATATGTGGTATTCAAAGTGTTTTAATATATTTAATCCACAAAAGGCTCTTGTAAGTCAAGAAGAAAAATATGAACATCTCAATAAAAAGATTTGTGTGGAATATATAAAGACCATTAAGAAAAGAAATATAATCATTCAGTTAGCATATGAAAAAAGTGGAATATTGCTAGTAATACTCAAAGAGAGATGAAAATTTTTGCTCTTCAAATTGGAATCCATTTATCAAACACTGATAATACCCAGTGTTGCTGTTTCTGGGAGTAGGGGGTTGGGATGGAGAAGGAGAAACCCCCCTTCATGCAGTAATGCTGGGAGTATAAATTACTCAGCTTTTCTGGAGAGCATTTTGGCAGATAGACGAAAAATCTTAAAAACATTAATTCTTTGTGACCCAGGAGTCCAGTTTCTAGGAATACATCCTGAAGAAACAACCACGGATGTGCAAAAATTTCATGGACAAGAATGCTCTTTGCAGCCCTACTTATTATAATAACAAAAATTTGGAAACAGTCCAAATAGTCAACAATGAAGGTTTGGCTTGGTTGGCAATCACAGTACAAGTCCACAACATGATAAGCAGGATTCCAGAATCCACAATGCAATTACAGTTAACAGATCTGCATTAGGTTTGCTGCAATTTCACTGGTGGCAAAAATCTGACACTGAACTGAAGGGAATCTTTTTAATAGTCATCATTTATCTCAGTTAGTGAGAATATTCAAATATTTTCTTGTCCAAATACTGTATTTGATTCTAGGCTACTGTTGAGGTCCCACTGCAGGTGCTTCCTAATGTATCCTTTTTTTAAAACAGATTTTTACCTTTTCAAAACCTAATTAATTCTAAATTCTGAAATATCTGGCCCCAAAGCTTTCAGATAATATTCAAATAATGAAATCCCATGATACCACTTAAATTCATGTCCTCAGGGAGCTTTGTTGGATATTTTGGTCACTTACTTTTTTTTCCCTATTTTTTTTTCTGTTTGAGATGGAGTCTCACTCTGTCGCCAAGGCTGGAGTGTAGTGGCGCGATCTTGGCTCACTGCAACTTCCGCCTCCCGGCTTCAAGCGATTCTCCTGCCTCAGCCTCCCAAGTAGCTGGGATTGCTGGCACCCGCGACCACGTCCAGCTAATTTTTGTATTTTTAGTAGAGATGGGATTTCACTGTGTTGGCCAGTCTGGTCTTGAACTCCTGACCTAGTGATCCACCTGCCTCAGCCTCCCAAAGTGCTGGGATTATAAGCGTGAGCCACCGTGACTGGCCTTTTCCCTATTATTAAAAGCAAAAACCAGTAGGATATAAAACAATGCAGATTATAATAATATTTTTTAAGTATGTCCCTGCAGATCCTTTTAATAGACTAAATAGACTTGAAGGAATATATCAAAGTATTAACAATGGTTATCGACGTATGATGAAATGATGAGCTATTTTAATTTTCTTGCATACATTTTTATGTTATCTGAATTATCTATAGTAAACTTATATTATCTTGAACAATAAACGTATTTTAAAAACCCAAACTAACTCTAGGCAGTAGAAACTGAAGTACAAAGTCCTTAGATAAATACGTCAGAGATCCATAGCCAGGGTTCAAACTCAATTCTTCTGACTCTGGACTCCTGCATTCTTTCCCCCTTGAATGTGCTGCATGGAAACCAGTGCTCTTGAAAGAACATCCAGCAGAATCTTCGTAAACGCTATGTGCAAAGATGTTTCTGTGGACACGTGCATACTGAAAACTATAAAGTCCAGAACTTTAGGCAGGACTTCTCAGGGCCTTTTACACTCTAAGATGCAGCACGATTCCACAGAAGAGCTATCCTGTGCTGAGTTCCAAGATCGTTGGCCACACGTCTTTTCTATTTTATTTTATTTGTATTTTAGCTCTGCTTATCTTTGTGAAAAATCTTCTAGGACATCTTGAGAATGTGTTTCACAGAAAACACTTTAGAAATGCTAATCTCATGGAAAATTTTATTCTTAAACTGAGGAAAAATATACAAGAACCATCTCTAGAGTGGTGACAATTTCCTGTGGGAATGCTGACCCTTCACAGTTTATTAGCTGTTCCCTTTTAAGAGTGACTTCCATAATAAACACGTGAAAGGCCATGGTCCTGGGAGGGAGCTTTGGTGTCCTTTAGGGAGGCCATTTTGACCTGCTGTGATTCTGCAGAGGATCATGGCCCATAGCTCTGGCACTGATGGAAAAGTCCATAGAGGCAGAAAATCTAAGCTCCGGATAGAATTCTCTGCATTGCTTGTTAGGTGTTCAGGAACCCAACAACTTCTCACATCCGTGAAGAGATTTGGGAGACACTCGGCAGACAGGGAGCCTAGTGGAACAAATCGTGGCCTGAGAGCTAGCAGCAAAACTGGAAAAGGACTTATTTATGCAAACGTTCTGTGTAACCTTTGCCAGCTCACAGCTTCTCTCTGTGTCTCAATTACTTCACATGCAAAATGTAAGGGTTGATTAAGGCAGAACAGCAACCTTGTTTCATCTTACTTGCCAACTCTAATCAATGGGTAGGGGTTTCCTGGAGTGCCTTGAGGCTGCATCCCTGCTTAATAGGAAGGGATGCTGTGATTGATTACTAATGTCTGCCCTGGTCACGGTAGGAAGATTGCACTGATGCTGCCCGTCCTCTGCCACCTCAGAGTTGAGAGACATCTAAACACTCTTGAAGACATGGGGTGCTCTACAGTGGACACAAGGGAGTCAGCCCCAGATCTAGTTCTTATTTCATAAACGCTGGAGATCTTTTGTCTCACTCCTTCTCTCTCTTTTTTTTTTGTTCCCTTCCATCTATGGAGATTCTAAACTCTTGGCTTTTGGTCTCTGTAATGGCAAAGTGATGGTTTTCCATGGCAATCTTTTTATACTCCCTTTCTTTCACCTTCTTGCCAGGGATGAAACTGTTTTTACTAAAAGGGAAAAAATACATATGTAAAAATCACACGTCCTCACCATGTGCAAAAATCATGTGTTTGGCAGCAAGAACATCTTTCTGAGGCCAAATGGCATTTTTTTCTTCTCTTACAAAACGAGCAAAAAAAAAAAAAAAAAACTTACTTTCCCAGCACTGGTACTGAATTATTGGCCCTTGTCAGTTGCTTCCACTAAGGGGCCTCTTGTCCTGGAAACTTGTGATGCTGGGAGACCAACAAGTCCTGGGGGAATCTGGCTGCAGCTGTCTTTCCTGCTTCTCCTGCTTTGCACAGGGACTGAAACACACAGCACCGTGGTTGATAGAGCCACTGTCATGGGTATTAGAGGGAGCTTGATATGGAAGACAGATAGACCAGGGTGTCTATAACAGCTTCATCTCTTACCAGCTTTGTGACCTGGGCAGAATCCATTACTTCTCTGAACCTCAGGCTGCTCATAATAAAATACACCATAGTTCCTGAGTCCCTGGCTTCAGCCAATCTCGATGTTCAAGTTTACCCCAGAGAACAAATCCGGCAAAAGTCCACACATTCAGGAAGTCAATATTTTAGTAGAAAAGGGCAAGTTGGTGGCAGGGGTAGGAAAGAATGGTAGGGAAAGATGGACAATAAAGTAGTTAGAATTCAAGTTAATATTAGAAAATGCTAAATACCATGAAGGAAACTTCATCTGAGTAGGGGAATATGAAACGTAGGGTTGGGGTGTCATCTCAGGTAAGATGTCCAGGGAAGGATCCACCAAGAAGGTGCTATTTGGGCAGACCAGGAGAAAGTGACGGAGCATGCGACATGTCTACCAGGGGATTGGGGATCCAGGCAGAGAGAACAGCAAGTGCAACGTCCTCAGGTGGAAATATGCCAGGTGTGTCAGAACAGTAGGGAAGCCCCTGGTCTGGGATGGAGTGAGTGAGGCAGAGAGCAGTGGGAGAGGAGAAGAGACAGGTGTGAGATGCTGGAGGCAGGGCAGGCTGGGGCAGGCCAGGTGGGGCCTGCTCAGGACCTTGGCTTTTGTGCTGAGTGAGACAGGGAGTCAAAAGAGCATGTTATCT
This sequence comes from Homo sapiens, assembly GCF_000001405.40. NCBI lineage: Eukaryota > Metazoa > Chordata > Mammalia > Primates > Hominidae > Homo > Homo sapiens. The sequence goes on along the minus strand of NC_000010.11, from coordinate 78,783,829 downwards.
TAAAGAGAGATGTGATCTCATTTACATTTTAACAGGAACTCATGACCTCTGTGTTGGGAAAAGACAGGAGGTGAGAGACAGGAGTGGGAGCAAGAACATCCTTCAAGGGGCTGTTGCTGTGCCTGGTGAGATGGTGTTGGCTTGCACCAGGAGGGAGCCCTGGAGGCAGTGGGAAGTAGAGGGGAATATGGGAACATTCTGAAAGCCCAGCTGGCCAGGTTGTTGTGGGAAATTGTGAGAAAAGCTCCAGCCCAGTGCCTGGAATGCAGTAGGTGCTCAGTTAAGGTTAGGTCATTATTACCAGTCACTTGGCCAATTGTGCATGCCTTCAGGGAGAGGGAAGAGCATAGGGCTGGGGGCTCACCTGAGGGCACCTTCATTCATTGAGGCATTTCATCAGCATTTTAGTCCATTTGTGCTACTCTAACAAAAAATCTGAGACTGGGTAATTAATAATTAATAAACAGCAGACATTTTTTCTCATGGTTCTGGAGGCTGGGAAGTCCAAGACCAAGGTGCTCATAGATGCGACATCTGGTAAGGGCTGCTCCCTGCTTCCAAGATGGCATCTATTGCTGCATTCTCACATGTGGAAAGGGGAACAGCTCCCTCACATCTCTTTCTAAAGGCACCAGTTCCCTTCATGAGGACTATCATGACTTCATCACCTCCCAAAGGCCCCACCTCTTAATACCATCACAATGGCAATTAAGTTTCCACATCTGAATTTCGGGAGGCACATTCAGAACACAACAACCAGCACATTGTGCTCTTGCTATGCACGGTGGCATTGGAAAGATGGCAGATGATGCAGCAGGACAGGAGACCCCCCCAGCCACAGGGGGATTGGAAAGAGGGGTAAAGGGGAAACAGCCACCAAGGAGAATTTGCTCCCTTATTGTGAAATAAATAATGAGACTTGACAAGGGTCACCACGGAGGAATCTAGTTGGTACAGATAATTCTGGAGCTGGCATTTCAGTTGCTTTAGGAAGAGCACTTTTGAGTTGGAACTAAGGGTGAAACTTGGTTCTTGAGAAATAGTTTGCAGAAGGCAAACTCCTGACTATGTCCCAGGAATGGAGGTAAGCTGTGCATGTGGCTGTGGCAGCAGGTGACCAGGCACTACCTCCCGCTCCCCTCATGCCCTTGCTGTCCACAGGGCTCCCGCATGGTAACCAATGGTGCACCCTCCACGGCTGAGCTCAGCTGGTGCTGGAGGCATTTCCGAGGAGAAGCAGTGGAGTGGAGGACTTGAGGAGGCTGTGGCCCAGGATTAGCAGGTCTGCAAGCGACAGAGGGGCCTAAAGATGTGGGTGTACTCATCCTGAAGGTGAGGCAGCAAACCGTTGAGAGGGATGGGCTGGGTGGGCAGGGAGGGCCAAGCTGGAGCAGCATTCCCTGTGGTGAGCAGGGTGATTTGGACTACACTGGAAACCACTTCACACAAGATAACAGATAGTCATTTCAGTGTTTTAGAAAAAGACTAGCTTTCCTTTTATGATAGTGATATAAACTGTTCTTTTAAAATGCATTTATGTAAGCTTGAAAATAAGATGACTAAATGAAAATTAATCAGTGGATAACAGTAAAAGGCCAGCGCTAGCCGAGGGGGCTGTGAAGCGTGATTGAGGTGTGCACCTCCTCCTTCGGTTCAGTGGGTGGGCACGATGGAAAGTTATTTGCCACTGGATTTAGGAGAAACCCCCAGGGTTGGGAAGGCCTTGGATGGAGTCTGTTGTCACAGCCGAAAGCTTCCTGGACCTGGGGGAACCCCACATATCAAAGGGCATTTTCTCTCCTTTCCAGATGCTTCCATTTCATTGTAAATACAGAGACAAAGGGAACAGGAGAGAAAGTCCTGGGACACCTTCTGCTGACACAAGAACCCAAAAGGTCATCCTGGACCCTGTTCGCTTTTGACTTGTTCTGAAAGCTTCCTTTCTCTCCTAGCCTGGGAAGGGATGGCTGGACAGAAAAGGCTTTGCACACCTCCCACCCTGGCCCCACCCCCATTCCCATCTCCACAGGCTCCACAGGATGGCTTCCTGTCCATAAAATGTTTGAACACAGACCATCAGAAGGCAGAGTTAGACAGTGGCACAATCCCCGCTGGCAGCATCCAGTAGAGGAGGGGTGGAGCCTCAGGAGCAAAATAGTTCTGGGCTGCTTTTCTACCTGGCCATTCCTGCTTGTGACCCTGATCTTCAGAGCGGCCAGGAACTCCCAAGACCTGGAACCTCAGGCCTGTGTCTGTTGCAGAGGCCATGGGTGGAGGAGAGCATGCCCTCCTGAGGGCCATCACAGTGGCCACTGGAATGAGCCTGTGGTGTCCCAGTCGTCTCCAGGGGTCCCAGCCAATGTGAACCTGGTTCCCAGGAGTGCAGCAGCACAGTGCTTCCTGCCCTGGGCCTCGCGGGGGCCTGCGCTCCATCATCGGGAAGGGCAGTAATGATGAGTTATTGATACATTTATTGATCACCAACTGCAAGGCAGGAGTTTTCCCACGCCTTATTGGATAAGAGCACAGGCAGCCGCTGAGAGGTCTGGGTCGGAGCCCTGCTCCACCAGCAGCTGGCTGTGTGAGCACAATGAGCTCCTTACTGTTATCGTGCCTCAGTTTCCTCATCTATGCAGGGGTCCTGCCAGCACAGGACCTGGCTCATAGGGCCGCTAGGAGGATCAGAAGAACTCTGCATGCACAGGGTTTGGAATACTGCCTTGCACATGGTCAGATCTCAAAAAGGGAGAGCTATTATTATTGTTGTAGTTGTTCTTGGTCCTAATTCCTACAACAACTCTAAAGATACTTGTTATCCTCACCATGGAACAGGAATGCATAATGCCTCGCTGCCTGCATGTGGCTGGCAGGGCCAGCTTCGGGCCCTACACCCATCTGACTTCAAAGCTAGGGCTTTGCCCAGAGCCTCACACACCTCCCGATGACCTGGCAGGGCTCTCACAGGCCGCTGGCTGACACCAACACCATGCGGCAGTGCAGGCCCAAGCAGCAGCACCCAGGGACACTCAGGACAGGGCTTCCTGAGTTATTTCTGTCTTGGGGACCCTCCTTGGAGGACAAACCTTTGGTGGCCCAACCCTGCGTAGCACTCTGGCACTTCCGGGATGGAGTGCTCAGATGCTCTGCATCTCAGCAGTCTTCAGTCCCCTTCCCCAGACCTTGCCTGGGCTCCTGTGAGGCACAGTGCCGGGCCCTTGTTAAGATGCAGTGAGTGGGCTGCAGATGCTGCCTGGAGATGGGGACAACTGAGCGAAGCAGGCCGAGCTGAGATTTTCATGCCCACAGATGTGAGGGGTGGAGTGGTCCATCTCGGTGTGCTTGGACCACTTTCTCCCAGCTTCGGGAAGGGAACCAATGTCTATTTGGTGAATAAGGACACTGAGATCTGAGGGTGTCAGTGACTTACCCATGCTGGCCCAGCCTCTGGGTGCCAAAGCCAGGTCTTGGTCCTTGTGGCAAATCTCCCAGCTCCATTCTGTGCCCCCTGGGACATGCCTCCCAGCTAGTCTCTAAGTGTTATAACAAAATTTCAGAACCCTGGGGTGGGGTATGTCTGAGGGAGGAAGAGGGATTTGGACTGGAGGGATCTGGTTTCTCCAGCGCTGAGAGACAGCCCCAAGCTGGTGGCCAGATAATTCCCAACCAAACCCTCAACTCTCTCCTTGAGCCTCTGAGCACACAGCGTGGATAATTTTTGGAAATATGTTCCCGTGTGCTGTCCTCAAGGGGCCTTGCCAAATCCTACTCATCCTTGGGACCTAAATAGAGTTCCCTCCTCTCTGAGCCCACCTGGCTGCCCAAGTACTGGGCTTCCTGACCCTGACACCCTCATCTCTCATTGGGCCCAGCTTGGGACACAGATGAAGGCTCCACACTGTCCTTAGAGTGTGGGTCACCCTTGCTAAAACATTAGCTGACAGGGCAGGGACTACCTGGGGAGGGAGAAGGAGAGGAAATACAAACTTCAGTCAGATGGACCTCACTGGAATCCTGGCTGTATCATTTTTAAAACCCATAAACTTTCTGTATAATTTTGAGCCTCAGTTTTGTCGTCTGTAAAATGGGCATGACAATGCCTGCCTCTCAGGGCTATAGTTGAGGAATGAAGAGGGTCAGGTATGAAAATCCAGCCTAATAATCTGGAGTGGTTAGTGCTCAGTGCATCACAGCATCCCATGCCCTGCAGCCCCTCCTCGCCATGCCAGGCAGGGTGCAGGCTGGGCAGAGCCTGCTCCCAGCCAGGGCTGCTTGGCGCATGAGTCATCTCTTCTGTCCTCAAGAACTTGTGGTATGCCCAGTTGTCTGGGGGCATCTGTGCATGTGTCCCTGTAGCTGGGTGACCTCAGGCTG